>NC_000004.12:137103199-137406229 GCF_000001405.40 Homo sapiens
GTGTGGTACCAGCATAATGACAGACATATAGATCAATGGAATTGGAGAGATTCCAGAAATAAACTCACATATTTGATGAAATAATGTTGACAAGGATGCCCAAACTATTGAATAAAGAAAGGACAGTATTTTCAACAAATGGTGCTATGAAACTAGATACACACATGCAAAGGAATTAAGTTGGGTCCGTTCCTAATGCCATGTACAAAATTAACTCAGAATGGGTCAGAGATGTAAACATAGGTTCTAAACCTCTAAAGCTCTTAGAAGAAAATATAGGGGAAAAGCTTCACAGGCTGGATTTGACAATATCTTGGACATGACACCAAAGGCAAAAGCAACAGAGGGTAAAATAGACAAATTGGGCTTTATGACAATTAAAACTTTTGTGCCTCAATGAACACTAACAACAGAGTAAAATCCAACCTACAGAATGGGAAAAAATACTCAAAATCACATATCTGATAAGGTATTAATATCCGAATAGGTAGACAAATCCCAAAACTCAACAACAAAAAGCAATCTGATTCAAATGAGGGAAAATTACTGGAATAGACAGTTCTCAAAGAAGATATATGAATGGCCAATAAGCACAGGCAAAAAGATACTAAACATTATTAATCACTAGGGACATGCAAATCAAAACTGCAATGAGATACCACCTCACACCCATTAAAATACTGCTATTTAAACAGCAGGAACGTCTTGGCAAGGATGTGGAGAAATTAGAACACTTGAGTACTGTTAGTGAGAATTGAAAACTGACCAGCACTGTGGAAAATAGTACGAAGTTTCCTCAAAAACTTAAAAATACAATTACAATGTGATCCAGCGATTCTACCTGTGGATATATACCCAAATAATTAAAAATGAAGTCTCAAAGAGATATTTGTATAACTATGTTTGTAGCAGCATTACCCACAATAGCTAAAATGTGGAGGCCACAGATGAATGAGTAAACAAAATGTGGTATATACAAACAAAAAAAAATTATTCAACCTTAAAAAAGGCAATTTTACATATCCTACAGCATGGATGAACCTTGAGAACATTATACTAAGTGAAGTAAGCCAGTCACAAAAATATACTGTGTAATTGTACTTATATGAGGGATGTACAGTAGACAAACCATAGAGACATAAGGTAGAATGGTGCTTGCCAGGGACTGGAGAAAGAGAAGAATGGGAAATTATTATTTAATAGATACAGAGTTCCAGTTATGCAAAATGAAAAAGCATTCTGCAGTTGGATGGTAGTGATGGCTGCATAACAATACGAATGTATTTAATGTCACTGAACAGTACACTTAAAAAGGTTAAGATGGTAAATTTTATGTGTATTTTTCCACAATAAAAATAATTTTTAAAATTATATATATAGATTTATATATAAATATAGAAATTTATATATATATCTTCTGAAAAATTATGGAGATAAGGACTTTGGGGTATATAGTAGTCAATGATGTATCTAACATCACCATTATTAATAGTTATTCTTTAGATTTCTACTTACTGTTGGAATAGAGAAAACGACTTTAATAAAAGTATAATTCTATTCACTCCATGTCTTAGATTGCCTGAGATATTTGGTTATTTTCTAACCTTAATTTTATAGGCTATTAGACAAGCTATGAATAATATTCTTTGATAGTGGTAGTCACCATGACTGCCATGACTGAAAGATGGATTCACTTACATATAAATAAAAAGGAATAAATGTGTAAAACTGTTACAGACAAACAAAATACTTGATAACTTCTTGCAATGCGCAGTGTTTAAGAGAGAAAAATCACTGTGATGTATGGCTATTATGTATAAAAATTATAGCAAAGATTATATGTGTGTGTATAGGAGTTATTAGTGTAAGTACCCTAACAATGTGAATTACATTTTCAATTAAACAGAATTAAAGCATTTGTATATTAGTTTCCTTTTTTGAGGTCTGAACAGATTTTTCTGAAATTGTATTGGCAAAGTTTAAATATACATGGCATAAAAAGTGAGTTATGTTTCTTCAATCCAGTGTTCTCAAAATATGGTCCCTGGACTGGTAGCATGAGCATCACCAAGAAACATGATTGAGAAACCGGAAAAGAGGGGTCAGCAATGTGCTTTTTAACCAGGCCTTCTAGGTGATCATGATGCACCTTTGAAAACTATGGTCTTATCTTATTCAATGGAGACAAATGAAGAGTTAAAGTTTGAGTTGAAGAGTTAGATAGAAGGATGTGTTTTGTGGGATCTTTGCAAACCAGAGCAATAACATTTCTCTGGAAAATGACTCTGCTTTTCAACTATATTGAGGAACATTGAGTTTGGTTCAAGAACCAGAAGAACATAAAGTCTGTAAGTTTTATCTTCCATGGAAACACACTTTGTATTAGTATACATTCCTGCAGAAAGATAGTGTAGACTAAGTATAAAGGACAATGGCATCACAAGAGTTAATCTTAACTCTGCATAAAATCTCACCATTAGTTGAGCATTCTCACAAGAAATCTGGGGGCAAAGGAAAAGACCCCTAACCATTTTCTGTTTTTCAGCCCTTCTTCTGTGCACCCTCTTTCTGCCAATAAATGCTTTATCTGTTTAGCTAAATAAATCTAAGTCTTATAGCTGTTCATGGCTTCCTCCTCCCACTTCATGACCATCAAGAACACTGCAAAATGTCACTGATGAATTTGGGTAATTTCATAGACCAATGAACAATTTGCGATCTTAATGATTTAAACTTTCTATCCTTCAACTTTATCTGAAATTGAGAATAATTCCGTTTTGTTATATGCTATCATCATATTACAGACCCACATCTATTATTTCTTATCCTTTTGTAGAATTACAATGTTCTCTTACATGAACATAGAATATATGGTAGTAACATTAAGACTGATGGTTAATTTGGTCTTTTGAGAAAGCATTAATTTATACACAATTTTCACATCAAAATAGTAAAAATTCAGTAAAAAATATGATTAAGTTAATGTTTAAAAACACTATTAAAATGAAAACTGATAATAGTTTTGTACCACTTATGTTTATGTCTAATCTTTTTTGTAATTAATGACAGACTAGAACACATCAAATGTTCTGAGTGAGAAATAACTATGTTGATAAGGCCAGAAATACATTTCATTCCTTTAATATACTGGAAACTTTAAGTTTCTAAATACAAAAAAAAAAAAAAGAAAAGAAAAACACTAGTTGGAGTGTATTATAGAATGCGGCCAAAGCAAATAGTCAAGTACTCCCCCAAGTCCAGTTGTTTTATGCCATTGCTGTGAATTGTGACATTCCATTTTACTCTTATCTTGTAGATTCCCCTGGTATTTAGCAGTGGAGGTAATTTTCCATCTCTGTAGTTAGTTTATAAGCTTCTCTTGCCACTTCCAAAATTGCACTATTTCGTCTGTCACAAACAGCTGGGCTGAGTAAGAAAATAATACTGGTCGATTAAAAAAATGCAATCTAGAAATGTGAACTATTTGATTACACTAAAATAGAAAGTTTAAACTAATCATTTGCTAATCTTCTCACATCTTCTTTGAAACAGCTTTTGATGAAAAGGTTAGCAGAAACATCAATTTTGCGGGTTCTGAACGGTTGGTTTGCTGGGAAAACATACACAGTATTTTCTAAATGTGTTGTTAAGTAAACTACGGTTGATTTCAGTGAAATTATTTTGGTTTACAAGAGGGATTCTACATAAATACTCACAAACTGAGCGCCATTCCTTTCAACATCAAACTATATTTGAGTTAGTTTAGTGTTAGTCATATAAAAAATGTAAACAAAACAATTCTAAAATTACTAAATTTGGATCTAAAAATGTAAAATGTTCTTGTGTATCTAAATTGCTCATTGCCTTATGTTACTAAGGAAGAACTGTTGAAAAACTCATTTCTTATAATGAGTTTCTTAGGATCAAGTGTAAATTAAAATGCACAAGAGATATACTGCTTATGCTCTTTTAGTTGTGAAGTTAGCTTCCCCACATACTGTCTGCCAGGCTTTGAAAAGCAGAGGTTCCTACTTTAAACTTTATGTTAACCACTGCCAAATATAAGAGTGGCATATGTCTCTCAAAGCACTGAATAATATGAATAAAAGTGAAATACAAACCACATAGGAAGAAATAGAAAAAAAGGGAAATACAAATAAGAAAAATACAAATATGAAGTCAGTAATACCAAACATGTAAATTACAGCTGTAAACATAAAGGATTTCAGCTCCCCTATTAAAAGAGCACTATTAAATTGAATGTTGTAAAGGTCTAAATATACACTATGCACAAAATAAACACCTAAGAGAAAAGAATAGAGATGTATAAAAATAAAAGAATAAACAGCAAAAGAAAAATAAAGTAGAAGTAGCAAAATATATCTCAGGAAAGTACAATTTAAGATAAAATTAGGCATGGTGGCTCACACCTGTAATCCCAGCACTTTGGGAGGCCAAAGCAGGTAAAACACTTGAGTTCAGGAGTTTGAGAGCAGTCTGGTCAACATGGAAAGACCCTGTCTCTGCAAAAAACTACAAAAATTACCCAGGTGTGGTGGTGTGTGCCTGTAGTCCCAGCTACTGGGGAGGCTGAAGCACGAGAATTGCTTGAACCTGGGAGGTGGAGGTTGCAGTGAGCCGAGATCGGGCCACTGCATTCCAGCCTGGGTGACAGAGCGAGACTCTGTCTCAGAAAAAAAAAAAAAAAAAGATAAAAGATAAAATCACCCAAGAGAGTAAGTAAAGCTGGTTATTTAATAATGGTAAAATTTACAACACTGAATAGTACATGTTATTCATAAACTTATAGAGGTCAAATAATATATAACCTCCAAATATATGGAGCAATGTTTGAATTAAGTAATAGGATTTGTTGCAAGTTTTTTTTTTTCCCCAGTGGGGAGCAGATTCTGAAATAATTTAATGTTCAGAATACTTACTGAGGGTCCTCGGAGGGGAGGGAGGAGAGGGAGGATTGAGCAAAAAAGTCAAGTTAGATTCAGGCCTCAAAACTTCAGTCAACATTACAGGAATTTGTAGAGCTGGAATGGTATCTCAGAGTTGTTGATCTCGAGTTAGATTTTATATCACCACTTGGACCAGTTACTGGATGTGAGCTACTACCTAAGATCATGACTGGACAAAGCAGCCATCCACATCTGAGGCAATTCTGAAGGGGCTGTAGCTAAAGCCTTTTTGCCAACAGCACTCCCTGCATCTGAGGGAACAAGCCATACTGGGTGAAATCAAAGCACGTGTAAAGGACGACTGACACCCAGACCATGGTTTATTCAATAAATCATTTTATTTTGCACATATTTTATCTGCATAGTTTCATGTTTTCTTCAACTATTTTCTCAGAATTGAATAATGCCAATACCTTCAGTTATATTTATATAGATAAATTAAATTTTCACACCGTTGAGAGAATTTTGAACTTTATATTCTCTAGATGTGGAGTGCAAAGGTTCAATACATACTGAAGCAAATTGGTGTCCACTGAATAGTGTATGCCTATATAATTCCTTAAATATCCCCAAAGATGTGTATTTTTTAAAATGTTCACTAGATTTATTACTTAGTTAACATTTACTGAAGTATAGAATGCAAAGTAAAAGAAACAGGGTTAATTTGAATACATCACAATTGAGTAGTGTTTGAATTAAGGAAAAGATATTCTGAAATTTAGTGCCATCTTTTTTTTGCCCAGTCAATACGGAGGTATATATTTTGGAGAAACAAAATAAATGCAAACACCAAACATCGTTGCTAAATATTTCAAATGAGAAAAGTACTGGAAAGTTTAAGCTTTATAGGTAATGCAATGGCTTCTCTAAGTGTTGTTAAATACCTATTATTACAGAAACACAATCCTGGCTTCCCATACCTGCAGATTACAGGACCCCATGCTTCTGGTCAGCTTCTCCGGCCTACAAGATGAACTGGCAGTGGGGCTGCAGACACCAGTACTCACAAACACACCCCTCACCCTTGGGGATGAGCTCCCTCCTGAGACATGTGATTAATACCCTTCTCCAGGAAAGTGTTCACGGGACCCTAAAAGCCAAGGATGGAGAACCAGTGACTTTTAAGTCTGTGGCAATAGACACCACACAGAAAGACCGGGCCTTGCTAGAAAACCATAAAAAGAGGCCTCAGTGGATAAAGTCACAATTGCCCATCTCCTGGAGTTGTGATTTATGCTTTGTGGCAGGGTTGTTGTCTTCTGAACAGTAGTTCAATTAATATATCTTCACCCATAGAAAGATACCAAATTTTTCCTCGCAGTTGGGATGATGAGAACAGCATTTAGAAAGAAGAAGCAGGTTGCCAGGCACAGTGGCTCATGCCTGTAATCCCAGCACTTTGGGAGGCCAAGGTGGGCGGATCATCTGAGGTCAGGAGCTCTGAGACCAGCAAGGCCAACATGGCGAAATTCCGTCTCTACCAAAAATACAAAAATTAGCCGGTTGTGGTAATGAGCACCTGTAATCTCAGCAATTCGGGAGGCTGAGGCAGGAGAATCGCTTGAACCCAGGAGGTTGCTTTGAGCTGAGATCATGCCAATGCACTCCAGCCTGGGCGTCAGAGCGAGACTGTCTCTAAAAAAAAAAAAAGAAAAGAAAAGAAAAAAGAAAGAAAGAAGCAGGTTAATAATTCTTCAGTTCACTTAACCCTTTGAAGAATTGAAATACAAGGAAGATAGGCAATTTAGCAACAACAGGATTAAACAAAAAGAAATAAAAGGAAACCAAAAAGGCAATAATAATTTCTTGGTAGATTAAAATTATTATTTACTGTAATTATCATAATAAATTCTTATTAAATTAATTCTTTAAAGTGTGCTAAAGATCCACTACACTGAAAACTACAGAATTTTTCTGAGAGAATCCAAGTGAGATCTACAGGCATGGAGAACAAGAACTATGTTAAGGAATTGCAGAACCTAAGATTTTAAAATATCAATTATCCTAAATTGAACTACACGCTTAAAATAATCCCAATCAAAGTTCCAACTGGTATTTGTGTAGAAATCAATAAGGATAATAAAAATTATATAAAAATGCAAAGACACATATAAAGATAGAAAAAAAGAAAAGAATAGCATCCAGAATAGATGTTCATGTACAGAATCACTAATTTATAACAAAGATCCCTATGCAATTCAATGTGGAAAGAAAATCTGGGAGACACTGGATATGCATTTAGAAAAAAAAATGAATTTTAGCTCTCCCACATACCATATCCTGAAATTAATTCAAGATGGATTTTACACTAATATGTGAAAGATAAGACCACAGAGTCTATAGAAGAAAACATTGGAGATTATTTTATAAGTAGTTCTTAAACTAGATTCAAAAAGCACTAAACATATGTGAAAAAATTCATCAGACTTCATCAATACTCAAAATTGTGGCTTAGCAAAAGACATTGCTAAGTAAATGAAAAGGCAGGTTAAGTCAGGCTGAGACTGACTAAGAACTCAGATCTATACTATATAAAGGACTTTAACAAATTAATCAGCAAGCACATAAACAAGCTGGTCAAATGCTTGAGCTGACACTTCATCCAAATGTCACAAGAGAAACGTCAATTAAAACCATGAGACACCATTACAACCCATGAATTGCAAACTTTTTTAAAGTTCTATTTTGTTTTTAATTGACATAGAAGTATACATTTTTGGGGGACGGTGTGATGTTTCCATATATGTATGCATTGTGTAATAATCAAATCGGGTAATTAGCATATACATAATATCAAACCTTTATTATTTCTTTGAGAACATTCAAAATCTTCTCTTTGGGTTATTTGAAATATGCAATACATTATTTTTACCTATAGTCACCTCATAGAGCAATAAAACACCAGAACTTACTCTTTGTATGTAACTGTATCTTCATTCCTGTTGACCAGCCAGTGGTAACCACTATTCTACTCTCTACGTTACATGATTAACTTTTTAATATTTCACATGAATGAGATCAAGTGGTATTTGCCTTCTGTGTTGGTTTATTTCACTGAACAATGTCCTCTAGCTTCATCCATGTTGCATCAAATGACAGGATTTCATTCTTTTTTATGGCTGAATACTATTCCTTTGTGCATATATATAGAAATCTATTTATCCATTAATGGACAGTTAGGTAGATTCCTTATCTTGGTTTTGTGAACAGTGCTGCAATAAACGTTGGAGTACACATATCTCCTCAACATACTGATTCCCTTTTCATTGGGCATATACCCAGTAGTGGGATTATTGGCTCATGTTACAGTTTTGTTTTTAATTTGTTGAGAAACCTCAATGCTGTTGTCCATAATGGCTGTACATTCCCACCAACAGTGTATAAGAATTCCCCTTTATCCACATCCTTGCCAAGATTTGTTATATTTCATCTTTTTGATGATAGCCATTCTAACTGGGATGAGGTAATATCTCCCTATAGTTTTGATTTGTATTTTCCTGATGATTAGGGATTTTGAGTATGTTTAACACACCTATTGGCCATTTGTATGTCTTTGGTTGAGAAATATCTTTTAAGATATTTAGCCCATTTTAAAATTAGATTACTTTTTTTTTTTTTTTGCTATTGAGTTGCTAGAGTTTCTTATATATTCTGGATATTAACCCCTTATCAGGTACATTGTTTGCAAATATTTTCTCTCATTCTCTAGGTTGCTTTTTCACCCTGTTGAATGATTCCTTTGCTGTGCAGAGGTTTTTTTGTTCAATGTAATCCCATTGGTCTATTTTTGCTTTGCTACCTAAGCTTTTGAGGTCTTATCAAAAAAAAATTTGCCCACACCAATGTCATGAAGTGTTTCTCTTATGTTTTCTTCTAGTAGTTTCATAAATTGGGGTTTTATATTTAAGTCTTTAATCAATTTTGAGTGGATTTTTGTATATGGTGAGAGACAGGGGTCTAGCTTCATTCTGCATGTGGATATCAGGTTTTCCCAGCACCATTTAATGAAGAGACTATCCTTTCTCCAATGTGTGTTTTCGGCAGCCTTCTTGAAAATCAATTGATTGTTAATGCATGAACTTATTTCTAGGTTTTCTAGTCTGTTCCGTTGGTCTTTGTATCTGTCTTTATGCCAGCACCAGGCTGTTTTGGTTACTATAGCTTTGCAGAATATTTTGAAGTAATGTAGTATCATGCCTCTAGCTTTGTTCTTTTTTCCCTTTTTTTTTTTTTTTTTTTTTTTTGAGAGGAAGTCTCACTCTTGCCCTTGCCCAGGCTGGAGTGCAGAGGCATAATCCGAGCTAACTGCAACCTCCGCCTCCCAGGTTCAAGTGATTCTCCTGGCTCTGCCTCCTGAGCAGCTGGGATTATAGGCATGCAAAACCACACCCAACTAACTTTTGTATTTTTAGTAGAGATGGAGACGGGGTATTGACTTGTTGGCCAGGCTGGTCTCAGCTTCCCAAAGTGCTGGGATTACTGGTGTGAGCCACCACACCCTGCCTAGCTTTGGTCTTTTTGCTCAAGATTGCTTTGAGTATTCCAGGTTTTTTGTGGTCCCATACAAATATTAAGATCTTTTTTTTTTCTATTTCTGTGAAGACTGTCATTAGTATTTTAATAGGGATTTCATTGACTCTGCAGATCCTTTTGGATAGTATGGATATTTTAACATTAATTCTGCCAATCAATGAACACAGGATTTCTTTTTATTTGATTCTGTCCTTTTCTGTTTCTTTCATCAGTGTTTTACATTTTTCATTGAAGATGTATTTTGTCTCCTTGGTTAAATTTATTCCTAGGTACTTTTTAATTTTTGTAGCTATTTTAAATGGAATTACTTTTATTGATTTTTTTCAGATAGTTTACTTGGCGTATAAAAATGCTACTTTTTTATATGTTGATTTTTTGTCCTGCAACTTTATGAAATTTATTAGTTTTAATAGTTTTAGTGGAATTTTTAGGGTTTTCTATATATAACATCATGTTGTCTGCAAGTAGGAAACATTTTACTTTCTCTTCCAGTTTATGTGCTCTTTATTTCTTTATCTTGCCTAATTGCTCTGGCTAGGACTTACACTACTATATAGAATAGAAGTAGTAAAAGTGAGAACCCTTGTCTATTTTCAGATCTTAGTGGAAAAGCTTTCTACTTCTCCCCATTCAGTAGGATGTTAGCTGGGGTATGTCACGTACGGCCTTTGTTGTGTTGAGGTTTGTTCTTTCTATACCTAATTTGTTCAGAGTTTTACCATAAAAGGGTGCTGAATTTTGTTAAATGATTTTTACCACGTTTGAAATGATTATATAAGTTTTGTCCTTGATTCTATTAATGTGACATCATGTTTATTGATTTGGGTATGCTGAGTTATTCTTACATCCCTGAGATTAATTCCACTTGATTATGTTGAAAGATCTTTTGAATGTGTTGTTGAATTTGGTTTGTTAGCATTTTGTTGAGGATTTTTGCATCTATGTTCATCAGGAGTATTGGCCTGTAGTTTCCATTTTGTTGTGCTTTTCTCTGTTTCTTGTATTAGAGTAATTAATGATGGCCTCAAGCGATTAGTTGGGAAGAATTCCCTCCATTTCAGTTTTTTGGGACAGTTTGAAAAAAATTAGTATTTGCCATCAGGTTTTGGGCTTTTCTTTGATAGGAGACTTTGTTACTGATTCAGTCTCATTACTTACTATTGATTTGTTTACCTTTTTTTATTTCTGTGTAATTCAATCTTAGTAGATTGTCTGTGCCCAGAAATTTATCCATTTCTTCAAGATTTTTTCAATTTATTGGCATATAGTTTTACATAACTGTCTTGTAAGATCCTTTATATGTCTGAGGCATCAGTTGCAATGCCTCCTTTACATCTCTGATTTTATTTTTTGAGTTACTTCTTCTTATTCACAGTCTAGTTAAAGGTTTGATTATTTTGTTTATATTTTCAAAAAACCAAGTCTTTGTTTTATTGATCTTTTCTATTTCATGTAGTCTGTATTTTATTTCTTTTCTCAATTCTCATTTACTTTAAAAATTTTTTAAATTATTTTTTAACCCATTGGTTGTTCAGAAGCATGTTGTTTAATTTTCATGTATTTATGTAGTTTCCAAAGTTCCCCTTATTATAGATATCTAATTTTATTCCATTGTAGTCTAAAAGATACTTGGTATCATTTTAATTTTTTAAAATGTGTTGAGACTTTTTTTGTAGACAGATATGTGATATATCCTGGAGAATGCTTCATATCTGTGGGATGGAATGTTCTGTAAATTTCTGTTAGGTCAATTTGGTCTAGAGTGTGGTTTAACTTCAGTGTTTCTCTGGTAATTTTCTGACTGAATAATCTCTCCATTGCTGAAAGTAAGGTATTGAGGTTCCCCATTATTATTGTATTGCAGTCTATCACACCTTTTAGCTGTATTAATATTTGCCTTATATATTTGGATGTTTCAATGTTAGATGTATATATATTTATAATTGTTACATCATCTTGATGTTTCCATTCATTTAATACTATATAATAGCCTTCTTTTTAGCTTTCTAAAATATTTGGCTTAAAGTGTATTTTGTGTAGGTACAGCTATTTCTGCTTTTTTTTTTCTTTTTTGGTTTCCGTTTACATGAAGTAACATTTTTCCATGTTTACCCTCAGTCTGTGCACATCTGTACAGTTGAAGTGAATCTCTTTTAGGTGATTTTAAGTGTTAGAAAGGTTGTGAGCAAATAGAACTCCCCTTCATTTCTCATAAGAGGGTAAATTTTTACAACCTCTTTGAAAAATTATTTTGCATTTTTAATAAAGTTAAATGCATGCCAAAACCATCATCCAAGAGTTACACTCTTTGGTGTATACATAAGAAATCCAAAGATAATGACACATACAATAATGTTAATCAAAGTTTTTAAAAAACTGTGAATTGGAAACAACCCACATTTCAATCAATAAGAGAATGGATATGAGGATTATGGTTTTTATTTTTTGTTTTGTTGACAAACGGGGATTCAGCATAACAATGCAAGGGATATATTTCTCATAAAAGAGAATATTGAAAAATTTGAAAACCAGATTGAATAAAATATCAGACACAAAAGTGTAAATATTTCATGATTCCCTTTATATAAAATTCAAGGACAGGCAAAACTAATCAATGGTAACACATGTGAGAATAATATTACTTTGAAGAGGCAGAATTTTTCTGTATTTATTTTCTTGAGCAGGATGTTAGTTTCCCAGAGATATGATTATATGAGAAATTGGGTTATGGACTTCTCCAGTGTTTATATATGTGCATAATAAAAATTTGGCTGGAGCCATAAGAGGGCAGAGCATGACAGCAAAATAGAAGCTTCCACCAATCATCCCCCGCTGCAGAAACACCAAATTTTAACAACAAACTACAGACACAAACGTACCAATACAAGAACCAAAAATCTGGTTAGCAATCATAGTACCTTGTTTTAACTTCATATTGTTGAAAGAGGCACCGAAGAAGGTTGGAAGGACAGTCTTGAATTACTGATGCACCTCTCCTCCATTCCCCAGCAGTGGTTTTGCGGTGTGGAGGGAGAATCTGTGTTCTTGGGGGAGGGAGAGCACAATGACTGTGGAAATTGGCAATGAACTCAGTGTTGCCCTATCACAGCAGACAGCAAAGGTTTGCTGGGCTCAGCTGGTGCCCACCCCGAGAGGCAGCATTTGACCAAGCTCTTGCTAGAGAGGAATCACCCATCCCAGTGGTTGAAACTTGAGATTATCAGCAAGCTTCACCACGAAAGGTCAAAATGCACTGGGGCCATAAGTAAAATTGAAAGGCAGTCTAGGACAGAAGCATTTCAATTCCTAGGCAAGTCCTAGTGCTGGGCTGGGCTTAGAGCTAGTGGACTAGGATGACATGGGACTTAGAGAGACACCAACTAGCATGTTTACAGGAGTGCTTTAACCAACCCTTTCCCAACCTCAGGTAGTGCAGCTTGCAGCAACAAAAGTGACTCCTTACTTCTACTTAAGGAGAGAAGAGTGAAGAGTAAAGAGGATTTTGTCTTGCATCTTGGATACCAGCTCAGCCGCAATAGGATAAAGTAATGGGCAGGGTCATGAGGCCTCCAATCAAGGCCCTAGCTCCCAGACAGCATTTCTAGACACACTGTGAGCCAGAAGAGAACCCACTACCTCAAAGGAAATGACTCAGTTCAAGCAGGATTCATCACCTGCTGACTAAAGAGCCTTTGGCCTTGAATAACCAACAGTGACACCCTGGTCGTATAAAAAGGAAGAAATTAAATCACACCACCAGAGAAAATCGCCTTCACTAAAAGGAATACAAGAAGGAACAAATGAAGAAAGAGAAGACCACAAAACAACCAGAAAACAAATAATGAAATTTCAGGAGTAAGTCATTACTTATCAATTATAACATTGAATTGAAATGGACTAAACTCTCCAATCAAAAGATAAACAAGATCCAATGATCTTTCAAGAAACACACTTCACCTATAAACATACACAAAGACTGAAAATAAAGAGATGGAAAAGGACATTCCATGCCAATTGAAACCAAAGAAGAGCAAAAGTAGCTATACTTATATCAGCCAAAATAGATTAAAAGGCAAAGCCTGTAAGATGAGACAAAGAAGGTCATTATTTAATGATAAAAGGGTCAACTTACCAAGAGGACATAACAATTGTAAATATATATGAACCCAATGCTGGAGCACCCAGATATATTAAGCAAATATTACTGGAGCTAGAGAGAGATGGACCTCAATAAAATAATAGCTGGACACTGAAATACCCCACTTTCAGCACTGGACAGACCATCCAGATAGAAAACCAACAAAGACAAATCAGAATTAACCTGTACTATATAATCAATATACCCAATAGGTATTTACAAAATATTTCATCCAATGGCAGTAGAATATACATTATCCTCCTCAGCACATGAATCGTTCTCAAGGATAGACCCATATGTTAGGTCACAAAACAAGTCTTAAAACATTCCAAAAATTTACAATAATATCAAGAATTTTTTCTGACTACAATCAAATAAAACAAGAAATCAATAACGCGGAATTTTGGAAAACATACAAACACACGAAAATGAAACAATACGCTCCTAAATAACCAATGGATCAATAAAGAAATTTAGAAGAAAATTGAAAAAATCATTTAAAAAAAAGATCATGGAAACACAACGTACCAATACCTATGGGATACAGCAAAAACAGTACTAAGAGGAAATTTATAGTTATGAATGCATACTTCATAAAAGAAGAAAACTTTCTAACAAATAACCTAATGATGCATCTTAAATAATTAGAAAAGCAAGAGCAAACCAAACTCAAAACTAGTGGAAGAAAATAAGTAATAAAAATCAGAGAAGAGATAAAGGAAACTGAAATGAAGACTACAATACAATAGATTAATGAAATGAAAGCTTGTTGTTTTGAAAAGTTAACCAAAATTCACAAACCTTTAGCCAGACTAAGAAAAGAAGAGAGAAGAACAAAACAAAATCAGAGTTTAAGGAGACATTACAACTGACACCACAGAAATTCAAAGGATCATTTGTGGCTAGTATGAGTAATTATATGCCAATAATTTGAAAATCTAGAGGAAAAGGATAAATTCCAAGATATATACAACCTAACAATATTGAACTATGAAGATATCCAAAACAGGAACAGACCAATAAGAAGTAATGTGATCAAAGCTGTAACAAAAAGTCAGATGGTAAAGAAAGGCCCGAGACCCTGTGGCTTTACTGCTGAATTCTACTAAACATTTAAAAAATATATATCCATCCTGCTCAGACTAATCTGAAAAATAGAGGAGGAAATACTTCCAAACTCATTCTATGAGGCCAGTATTATCCTGATACCAAAACCAGATGAAGACACATCAAATAAAGGATAACTACAGCCCAATATCTCTGATAAAATTTGACACAAAAATCTTCAACAAAATAATTCAATAATACATTAAAAAGATTATTCATCATGACTGTGTGATTTATCCAGGGATGCAAGGATGTTCAACATACACAAATCAATCAATGCATACATGTTAACAACAGAATGAAGGACAAAAACCATATGATTATCTCAACTGATGCTGAAAAAGAATGCAATAAAATTCAACAACCTTTCATGATAAAAATCCTCAAAAAGCTGGGTATAGTACAAACATATTTCAACATAATAAAACCCATATACAACAGACTCATAACTAGTATCATACTGAATCTGCAAAAACTGAAAGCCTTTCCTCTTAGATCTGAACCATGACAAGGATGCCCAGTTTCATCACTGTTATTTAACATAGTATTAGAAGTCCTAGATAGCACAACCAGACAAGAGAAAGAAATAAAGACCCTCCAAATTGAAAAAGAAGAAAACAAATTATCTTTGTTTGCCGGTGATATAACTTGTCTTTGGAAAAACCTGAAGATTCCACCCCAAAAACTTTTAGGCTGATAAAAAAAAAATTCAGCAAAGTTGCAGGATACAAAATCAACATACAAAAATCACTAGCATTTTTATATTCCAACAGTGAACAATCTGTAAGAGAAATAAAGAGTAATCCCATTTACAATAGCCACTCATGAAATTAAATACTTAAAAAAGTGAAAGATCTCTACAACTAAAACTATGAAATATTGAAAAAGAAATTGAAGAGGACACAGAAATATGGAGAGATATTCAATTTTCATAGATTGGAAGAATCAATATTGTTAAAATATTTATGCTATGCAAAGAACTCTACAGACTCAATGCAATCCCTATCAACATACCAATGACATTCTTTACAGAAATAGAAAAAATAATCCTAAAATTTATATGGAACTACAAAAGAGCCAGAATAGCCAAAGCTATCCTAAACAAAAAGAACAAAACTGGAAGAATCATATTACATTATTTCAAATTATGCTACAAGGTTATATAGTAACCAAAAGAGCATTGTACTGGCATCAAAACAGACACATAGCCCAATGGAAAAGAATAGAGAACCTATAAACAAATCTATACACCTACAGGGAACTAATTTTTGTCAAAGGTGCTAAGGTCATACATTGGGGAAAAGACAATCCCCTCAATGAGTGATGCTGGAAAAACTGGATGTCCATATGCAGAAGAATAACACTAGACCCATATCTCTCACCATATACAAAAATAAAATCAAAATGGATTAAAGATGGAAATCTAAGACCTCAAGCTATAAAACTACTAGAAGAAAATGTTGAAGAAACTCTCTAGAACATTGGTTTGGGCAAAAATTTATTGAGTAATACAGTCAACCAAAGCAAAGAAATAAACAAATGGGATCACATCAAGTTAAAAAGCTTCTGCATAGCAAAGGAAACAATCGACAAAGTGAAGAGATAACCCACAGAACAGGAGAAAATATTTGCAATCTATCCACTGAGAAGGGATTAATAACCAGACTATATAAGGGGCTCAAACAACTCTATAGCTAAAAATCTAATAATCAAATTAAAACATGGGTAAAAATTTTGAATAGAATTTTTTCAAAATACATACAAATGGCAAACAGGCATATGAAAAGGTGTTCAATGTCACTAATCATCAGAGAAATGCAAATCAAAGCTACAATGAGATATCATCTCGCCCCAGTTAAAATGGCTTTTATCCAAAAGACAGGCAATAACAAGTGCTGACAAAAATGTGGAGAAAGAGAACCCCCATACACTGTTGGTGGAAATGTAAATTAGTAAAATGACTGTGGAGAACAGTCTGAAGGTTCTTCATAAAACAAAAAACAGAACTACCATAGGATCCAGCAATCCCACTGCTACGTATATACCCAAAAGAAAGGAAGTCAGTATATCAAAGGGATGTCTGCACTCCCATGTTTGTTGCAGCACTGTTCCCAATAGCCAAAATTTTGAAGCAACAGATGAATGGATAAAGAAAATGTGGCACATAAATACAATGGAGTATTATCCAGCCCTAAAAAAGAGATTCTGTAACTTGCAACAACATGAATGGAACTGAATATCATTATGTTAACTAAAATAAGCCAGTCACAGAAATACAAACTTTTCATGTTCTCATTTATTCGTGGGAGCTAACAAATGAAACAATTGAACTCATGAAGATGGAGAGTAGAAGGATGGGGAGGGAGAAGTGAGGATGGTTTATGGGTATATAAGTAGTTATTATAGGAAGAATGAATAAGACCGTGTATTTAGTATCACAAATGGATGGCTGTAATCAATTATAATTTAATTGTGCATTTAAAAATAATCAGAAGAGTATAATCAAATTGTTTGTAACACAAAGGATACATGATTGAGGGGATGGATACCCCATTTACCAAGATATTATTATGATTGCATGCCTGTATTAAGGTATCTCATGTACCCCATAAGTATATTCACCTACTATGCACCCACAAAAACTAAAAGTTTTTTTTAATTAAAAGCTTAAGATTAAAATTAAATTATGACTAGAGATTGAGCCATAAAAACAACTCCTAACAAAATGTATTTTTTTTGAAAAAGGGATTTGGCTAACATTTCGAAAAAATTTCTTCTTGTCTTTTTCTTTGTCCCAACCAGATATACAAAAATCAAACAAATGTTATTAATGCAAATAAGATAACTGAGGATCTTCCCTGAAAAACGGTGGTGAAATAAGGAAAGTTTATGTCTTATTTGCACCAACTTCAAACTCAGTAACCACATGTTTCTGCCCTCATTTAAGAGAAGGCTATTCCCACGGTGCTCCCTGCATTCTCTGACATATCTGATTTCAGAAATACATCTCTTTGTCAGTCAGTTACAGTTAACCTGAAGTTATATTAAGATGGTCTCTCTCATATTCAGTATGCCTTGCATGGGCAGTACCAAACAAATTTCCATCAACATTGATAACTGTTAATTCCAATTAGCAGCTATTCCAGCCATATTACTGCATAGGGTAATTTGATACATGATTCCTACTTTCAGATGAAAGAAGGCTCAGAGATAAAGCTGCTCTTGTACTTGTCATTATTTGTGATCCCGATCCTCTACAGTCTTTCTATTTCCTAAATAGCCCTTTCCATTTGGGCAAATATCTGTGCCCTGGTACTTTTTATAGCTACTTTTATCAGCACTGTACTCATTTATGTTTTTATTTTTTTGTCTGATTTCTCCCTCAATATTTTCTGCGTTCAGATTTCATCTGGCCCATCTAATGCTGCACCTCTGCTTATTTTGTATTTAAATACTTCTCATTCAATTTTATATTACATTTGGATTCAGGATGAAAGAAAATCAGTCCATTAACTACAGATCATGATTGCAATTTAGCCTTAAACTACTTAGCTTTAAAACAAAACAAAACACAGAACTGTTGTTCAGAATTTATCTTACTATGTGTTTTACTAGCTATATTAAAAATATCTCTATTAGAGACTTATACAGATTCTGATGTAGTCTATTAAAAATATATAGATGAGGGATTATATTGCCATTTCCTCAGGTCTTTAAGGAATTAAGAAGCATATAGACTAATGAATGACTAAAGAAAACATGATACATATACACAATGCAATATTATTCAGCCATAAACAATAAGGAACGCCTGCAACAGCATGGATAAACCTGGAAGACGTCATGCTGAATAAACTAAGCCAGGCACAGAAAGACAAATACTGTATAATCTCACTTACATGTGCAATCTAAGAAAGCTCAACTCATAAAAGTAGAGTAGAAAGGTGACTTCAGGAAGTGGGAAGGTGGGGGACGTGGAGAGATGCAGGTAAAACGGTGCAAACTTTCGATTGCTAGATGAATAAATTCTGAAGCTGTATAGCATGGCAACTATAGTTAATAATACTGAATTGTTTACTTAAAATTTGCTAGAGTAGATCTTAACTGTCTTCAGCATGCCTCCCCCAACACATAAAATAGCAACTATGTGGGGTGATGGATGTGTAAATTGATTGTGGTAATCATTTCACAATTTAGACATAGACTCAATAATCATATTGTATATTTGTAATATATTGAAATTTTGTCAGTTATACCTTAATAAGGCTGAAAAATAAATATAATGATCTAAACATGTTTTAAAAAATGTATACAGACTTTTCGCCAGTTACTCGATCCCCACTTGGTAAATCTCAAATGATTATACACTGTATTCAAAACTACTAAATGTAGGTTTTACTTCTGGCATGAATACTAAATTGCAATATGATCTTATACAAGCTACTTTATGTGCATGAGCAATTTTTTTAATTAGTCAAATGAGTCCATAGTCATATTCTACTCATTGCATATTAAGAGAATGCAGATGCCTATCCAAAAAAGAATGATGAGGAAAGTACTCTCAGAAATACGCTATCATGTAATATACAAATAGTATTCACAGATTTTAAAAGGCAAAGTCAGTGAGTATTTTATATCAAATTCATATTTAAATATATAATGGTGGCTGAAGACAGTATCACTAATATATTCCAAGTATTTTTGCATAGGTAATATTAATTAAAATTCAATTTCAAACCAAGAGGACACCATTTTGTGTCAATATAACTCAAAACTAATTATATTACTTGGGATTTTAAAAAATAAAAGATTATAAAATTATTAGCAAGCATATTATCCTTATTTATATGCTCAATAATAAATGACATATTTGGCTTAAAGTATCTTTCCAGTTTTATTTGAAATATTAAGGAAATATATCTCAATCAACTCTTCGCTGGGATCTCCACATGTCTACAAGAAAAAAATCTGTAATCAATGAAAACATATCTGTCTGGATTCAATAACTAGAACTTGGGTGTGATTATTAAAATAGTTTAATTATAAATTTAGCTTTATTCTTCAAGAAGAAATAAATAATAAAAGAATTTGGTAGGCTGAACATCAGATAGCTGTGAACTTTAATTGCAAGGTAGGCATTTTGCAGTGTTTGTCTTTCTGAGAAATATTTTACTGTGATTAGGTAGAATTCTTAGGATATACCATCACTAGTTATTATATAATTGTATTATTTGTGTGTATATTTATGTTAATATTTTGCTTGCTTTGATTTGCTTTGGTTCACTTAGAATAGTCAAATTTTATAAAGTTGTCAGAATTACTCAGCGCAATGGTCAGTTTTATGTGTCAACTTGGCTACACCATGGTACTTAGTTTTTAGTCAAACAGTAGTCTAGATGTTGCAGTAAAGTTATCTTTCCGATGTGATTAACAATTAAATCAATAGACTTTGAGGAAGACAAGATTACTCTCCCAAATGTGAGTGGGTTTCATCCAGTTGGTTGAATGCCTTGAAAGGAAATTTGCCTTTAGATTGCCTTTGAGCTAGAGACTAAAACATCAATTCTTCCCTGGGATCTCAAGCCTGTCAACCTGACCAGGAGATTTTGAACTTTCTAGTCCTAATAATAAAATAAAATAAATCAATCTCTCTCTCTCTGTCTCCCTCTCTCTCTCTGTCTCTCTATCATCTATCTCTCTCCCTCTCTTCCTTGAGACACACACACACACACACACACACACACACACACACGCTACACCCCATATTGGATATTGGTATTGTTATTTTGGAGAACCTCGACTAATACTAATGGCTAATACACTAATACGTATGTGTCTGCCAGACAGAGAGAGAGGAGAAGGAGGGAGAGAGATGGAGACAGAGACAGAAGTAGAGCAGCTATTCTTGTTTATTTGATCTGTTTCTTTGTAGCAGGAAATATTCAACATTCATAACTTCGTGCACAGAGCAAAAAAATTAGTTGAAATGAAGACAGAACTGATTGTAAACTGTGTTATTTCCATTCCAATAAGTTCTTATAGGATTATTAGTGAGTATTTAAAGAAATCTACCAGCCATAATCAAAGCTATCAAAAGGAGGAATCCAATATATCAAAAAAGGAAAATAAACGTGATAACGACAGCTTTTCTTTCCAAAACAAGTAAGTAAAAGCCAAAGTAAATAGAATATCCTATGCCACGGCAGCAGGTAAATGCTTACCACGTTTTTCTAAGAATAAATGTTCTGCACACATTGATAATTTATATGTTTTTGGTATGAACATCTGTGGTTTAATCATTGTTTTTGCAGTAGAGCAAATGTAAAGCATATTTTACCTTAATTAAATCATTAAAGAGAAAATAGCCAAAAGCATAAGGCTTTTGAGAATGCTGATTTTAACCACATCACTAGGAATAGAATAGTACCTTGTTCTCTTTATAGCTGTGTTATAGCTCCCTGAGTAATTCAATTACAGTACAGCATTGAAGCCTATCTGCATAGTATTAACTGTAGTTAAGCTTTCCAGTCTCTAGAGGTCTCTGTACATCACTTTTTCACTCACTGCCATCCTTGCAGGAAAACAGACACTTCAGCTTTGTCTGGACAGACTGCAGCTCTCCAAGGAACTTAAATGTTTCACTACTGTGTTTTTCCCCATCCTCATATATTCTAACATAAATTAAATTATAAGGCTTTAGGTACAGTCAAAACAAAAGAGAAAAACGTTTTCTATTTATTTTTAAAATTTTTACAAGGAGAATGTTTCCTTTTTGTGATTATCTCAGGTGTCCCTATTCTGAAACTGTTTTGGCTACCTTGTTTCCGAAAGTGTACATAGTACTCATGATTCTGTATAGTATTATATATAGTACACAGGGTTTAATTTGACAAATATTATTTTCATTTATAAGTGCTTTAGGATGAGAAAGACATTTATTAATGCCACAGTTCTTCGTGAAATTACCTCGAATGCAGCACGAATATTGAATTCAACACTTGAAGATGATCGGCTCTTTCATTAACATTCTCATTTTTTACCAAAACTTTGGCACACCATCAGGGAATAAAACTTGCATATAAATTAGCATCTGCCACTGTGACTCAAATCCTGAAAACGGCAAATAAAGTAGAACCTTGTCTTCAAGGCTTAAGTTTCATTTTGCTTAGTTTCTTTAATAAGATTGGACAAACCCCTCCCCCTAGGATTCTGGTTTATGGGGAAAGCTGCGTCACGTTGTGTGACTTGCAAAGCTGGTCATATCTGTCATTGGGGGTTGGGGACCAGCAGGAGGCAAGCAGCATATTTTGTTATAGTAAGCAAAAAACATGAGTCAATGGGAGATCTAACAGTGCTGGGGCAAAGTTTTGACCAGAGTTCTATGCTATTGAAAAATGCTATTTTGGACATATGTAAAGTTATTTTCTAATTTTTGGTGACACTCAATATTTATGATCAAGTATCTCTTTTATTGCAAAAGTTAAAGCTTAGGATATATTGGACACTAAGAATAATACATATATAAACTCATCTAATCCTCATAACAATTCATCTTGTAGGTAGTATTATTAATAACTTCATTTTAAAGGTGAAAAAACTGAGGCAGATAAAGCTTAATAAATTTTCTCTTAGGGCTGCGGAAGTAAATGATGGAGCTGGAATTTAAATTCAGTCTGTTTTCAGAACCTGGACCCTTAACACCTAGATTCAACCACCTCTCAGGTAGATATATCCTTCCACAAATGAGGAGAGACATGGAATCAACCAATTGAATCAGCTGAAGGAAGTGCCTTGCCAAGTTTACGGTTGAGACCAGAGGCAAAAAAGAGAGAGCAAAAAACAGTGCAAAAACTTCAGAGGCTTTCTAATCAATAGCATCTCTGACAAAATGGCTATTTGATCCAGGTATTGTGCCATTAACTATAGACTTTTCTCTGCTTGGAGCAAAATATTAAAGTAGTATTCCTTCTAACGTCTTTTTTCTTTTTTTTTTTTTTTGAGACGGAGTCTTGCTCTGTCGCCCAGGCTGGAGTGCAGTGGCGCTATCTCGGCTCACTGCAAGCTCTGCCTCCCGGGTTCATGCCGTTCTCCTGCCTCAGCCTCCCAAGTAGCTAGGACTACAGGCGCCCGCCACCATGCCCAGCTAATTTTTTGTATTTTTAGTAGAGACAGGCTTTCACCGTGTTAAGCCAGGATGGTCTCAATCTCCTGATCTCGTGATCTGTGCTGGGATTACAGGTGTAAGCCACCGCGCCCGGCCTCCTTCTAACATCTTACTGCAGAAGAGATGTCATCTATTTTTTTCCTTTCTATAGAAGATAAAAGAGATTGAGAAAGAGAAAGAGAGATGTAGAGAGATTGGTGCCACATCTACACCTGTTTCATTGGTCTGTTTCTTTGTAACAGGAAATATTCAACATTCACAATTTAGAGTATGGAGCAAAAAAATAATTAAAATAACTACAAAATTGATAATATTTGTAAGTGTGGTATATCAATATTTTGTGATAGAAAAAACAAAGGCATGAGTTAGCCAAAGTTCAAATAAAAACTTTCACCTTTGCTTTTTGTGTGACCTTTGGTGACTTCCTTAGTTTAATTCCTAGACCTCTCTTCTATAAAATGGGAAAAAATATTAATAACAGTGCCTCCCTGATAGCATTGTGAAGATGAAATAAAATAAAATTGTAGCAGAATGCCAAGTAATCAATATTAACTTTGATACTACTGTGTTGATAATGGTAATATCTTACATTTAGTATTTATAATTAAGCTTGTTATTCATCATGTGAACAACTGTCACAATCTTCTACTTGTTCCTGTTCCCAAGATGTTCTTGCTGATTGTCAGTAGATGACTTTACAACTTATTTTAATGAAAAGGCTCAGGTGCCACCAAGGAATTTAGAATATGGCCTCATATTCAGCAAGTTCCAAAATGTTCTGCCACAGCCTTTGCTCTTGTTTCTCTCGCATTCTGGTTCGAGTTAATGTGAAATTTCCCACATCCTTGCTGATAATTACTGATCTTAAAACTAATTCTGGTCCCTCTGATACACCAAAATATCCATGGACAAAAATACATAAAACAATTTTACTCCACAAATGAACTTTACTTAAATTAGCAATATTACTATGCTCCAGGCTTTAAATCTAAAAATCGTCTAAACCATTTGACTGTTGAGTCGCCTTAATTACTTTCAATTATCATAAAATTTTGACGTTTTTTTAAATGAAATATTTTATTTTCTCATTTTCTCCACACTAGCAGAAACTGTTCACATGCAGTTTATTACTACCTCAAATACACAAATTGAAATGATGCCTTACTTAGATAAGAAGTATTAATTAAAGACCTGATATTTGGCCAATTACTTTGTGGGTACTGGCAGCTATAAAGACAAATCTAATATAAAAGTTTAGTTCTTGTTTTCAAGAAGTTTAAAATTTATGTTCAGAGACAAAAACTACAAATACAGTAAGCTATGAAATAATATAAGTTCTAAAAGAAAGTAGACTAAGGGAAAAATTCATCATTACTATTGAATGGAAGCTTTACGTTAAATCTCAGGCAGTAAGCAAAAGTTTTTATTTTGGCCTCACAATATAGATAAAAGTTGGACAAGCATAACTGAAGATCAGATTTCTCCATGAAGAATGCCATGTAAACTAAAGCTTGGTAGAAAAACCATGGCTGCACGCTGTTTAGCTATGAAAAATATCTTTACTATTCTATTTTGAAGCAAATTTGAAAGCCAAAAAACTAGATAATTTTAAGATAGGTAAACATGCTTTTGTTCATTTGTTTTGCTATTATCTCATGAAGCAAGTAGAAACATGAAAGATCACACTGTCTAGTACTTACAAAATAAAACTCCTCCACGCATGAACACAGTTCCCCAAAAAGACATTTGGGGGAAAGATGAAGTCTCTTTAGGAATTTAAAAATTACAAAAAGAAAAACATAACCTGTCCAGTGTCTGTAAATTGCTGCAGAGTTCGTAACATAATCTAAATGAATGTGATTGCCATATTTGTGTATTTCTAATATATGGAAATATTGAGACAGATTTCATCCAATAGCTGCATAAATTTTCCTGAAAATATGCTAACATTTAAAATGGAATAAAATGAAATGAAAAGATAGATAGTCATGTTCATTAATCTTATGTGTGAAAATAAACTCCATCATTGCCCTCTATCTGTACAGCCAGGATGTAAGATCCTGCTTATACATATTAAATTTACATACTTTTCTATTCTGGCACTTGCCCATTATTTGGCACCGCAGGGTGTCTTAAATAACTCTGGCCTAATTTAAAGAAAATGTGCGTAATGATCTCTACAAATTCTTTCAAAATATAGAACTCTGAATAATCTTTTACATTTACTTAATCAAAAGATATTTAAGTAGATAACAATCAGTCATCTGTAAGATCTCAAGTTTCTGCAATGTTAGTTTTTATTTATTTGACTTTGTTTTTGTTCTTACTCCTCCATCCCTTGCAATTTAATCTTTAAATAACCTATTTAGACATCTCTGATATTAATATTTCTCTCAGAAAATATGATTTTCTGTGCAGGCAAATTGGATTTTCAATGATATTATTAATCTTTCTACAATTTCCCAGTCTTCTGGCTCTGATTTCTTTAATTTATAAACACTTGTATTTTTTCTATGTCCTTCACATACTAAACAGATAGATTTTCTATTATAAATTGTGAGCTTTGCAAAGCAAACGTGAATAGCGATTACCTATAACCTTGCAATCTTTATATATGCACACCCACAAAGAAATTTAAATATGATTTCTTAAATTTACCACAGAAAATGTATGACTTGAAAAGAGCAGTTATCTCCACCCTTCACTTTACCCACACACATGCACAAATTATCTTGGTTAAATTTTCTCACAGATTTTAAATTTTCTAAACACAGAAGACAAGAGTGAGGTAGGGAGCAGGCTGGTTTGGGTAAGTAGATAATAGTAGATAAGTAGGTAAGTAGATTACAATCAGATTTGTGGAGTATATTTTAAATTGACTTTAATTTTACATGTGTTTTAACTCTTTCCAGATATTTATTACATAAGCAATATAAGTATGTTGAGCAGATGAGCACTCTTAATGTATAGGGACACGTAAATGCACACTTTTCAAATGCTGATTAAATTGAAGCCAGTAACAAAAATTCCCATGAAATCCCGCCACCTTATATACCTACTTCCAGAATTGGTGCCTACATAATTCTGATCATCCTCCTATTGGTAAGGATGAACCCTCTGTTCTTAAGATTTTCCTTTCCTCTAGATCCCATTCTACCTTACCTACTTAAGAACATTGCTCCAAAGATTCATGTGTCTTTGGTCTGTTTTAATATCTCCCCTCCGTACTAGTAATTCTTATGAATTAAAAATGTCATTATTCTCTTTATAAATGAAAAAGAAAAAGAGAGGCTTCTCTTGACCTCACATTCTCCTTCCTATTTATGGTAACTTCTTAAGTGTTATACTCTCCATCTCCTATTGGATTATTATTTTCCCATTCTCTTTTGAGACTATTGTAACAGCTTCCATCAGCCACACTTCCACCAGAATTCATTTGTATATTGCTGTGTATGACTCTTTTACAAATCATCGGGGACTATCAATATTGCTAATTCTAACCATCTGTTTTCTGTCAGCAATCTACTTGACGTATAAACATTATTTCACCCAGTAGATTACTCCCTCCTTCTTTAACCACTTCCTAGACTTGACTGACCTTGGTTTCTGCTGACCATACTCCTGTCCTTGTTTCCTCTGACATCACCAGCCACTTCAAGCTTCTCTCCCTCTTTCTTCCTCCTTTTCTTTGCCTCTTTTCTATATATACTAACTCATTGGGTAATCGGATTCAGTGTTAGGGCTTTGAATACCATTTCTATGTAGACAACTTTCAAATTTATAACTCCAGTATAGACTTATCTGAATTCTGTCCATATATATTTAAATGCCAGGAAACAGATGGCAAACACACACACACACACACACACACACACTCCTAGATAACTAATAAGCAAATTACACTTGACATCTTCAAAACTGAACTTCTCACCTTTATGAGACACACTTGCTGTCAAAGTCTTTCCATGACACAAATGGCAATGTCATTCTTCTATTTGACTAAGCCAACATCCTTGAATTGTCTCTAATAACCGCTCTTTCTTTCATATCCCCATCAAATCTTTCAGAAAAATTTTCAATAATAACCAGAATCAAATCATTTTTTCTCATCTCTACTACTTAAAAGCCACCATCATCTCTTACTTGGATTATTGTCATGCCTTAAAGCAATATCCTAATCAGTTTACAGTCTAGACTCATCACGGAGCTCAGAATCTATAGTGATGGTGATAGAATCTAATTTAGCACATCATATATCTGCACAAAACTGTTCAACATCTTTGTTTGATTTATTAAGCCAAATGATCTTATGATGTGCTAAATGCTAACAAAAGCTGGGTTTCAGTTAGCTTTTTTACCTCATCTACTACTCTGTCTTTGGCACTATTTCTCCAGTCACAGTAACTCCCTTCTTGAGCTCACTAGCTAGCCATGTCCCAGTCTGGACTGTTCCCCTGAAATCTGCAGGACTCACTTGGCCTAGGGACATATACCCTTGCTGAATATCCAACTTTTTAATTTACATTTCCTTAATGTATATGCCTCTGTTATTTTACTGAGATTCAGAATTTAAATTTCTTTCAATCTACACAATAAAGAATTTGGCAAAAGAATAAAATGGTGTTTTAAGTGCTCATTTAAACTTTGAAGTTTTGATAAAATTGGGACACAAAGAGCAGAGCTGGAATAACTAAACTCTGTAAATTTAACATCTCAGAAATATCAATCAAAATGGAATTTCAATGTTAGAGGCTTACTGTGTGCCAGGGGGAGGTGGGAGACATAAATTAATAATCAATGGGCATAGATTTGCTTTCCAAATACTCTTTTTATTGTTGCCATGTAAGGCTAGAAATCTTCCACAACTGTTAGATTAATTGCCAGAATTTCAGAGTTTAGAAGGCACAATCTCTTTCTCGCCTCCATCATAAATCAACCTTGTCTTTATAAAAATAATGTGAATAAATGACTATAAAAAATTACTCCAGCCTTTGAGAGGGGGTAGCCATAGCATTGATGGATAAAGACCAAGAACCACTGATATACACAACACATTTCAAGACCTGTTAAGACCTTGCTTTCCTTAGTGCTTATTCTTACCTACAGAATAAAGTGTACACATACAAATAATGAGACAGATTCAGTCAAACTGAGACACAGAGTTTGAATAATTCTTCAGTCAGAAAGGAAGGCCACTTGAAAATATTTTTGACTATACAAATTAGTTGAGCCTTGAGGCTTGTAGGAAAATAATGGTATAATATTCTCATAAGTATGGCTAATAAAAGAAGGATTAAGAAGTACAAATGGCATGGTGAGCTTACCAGATCTCCATATAAATTAACTGATTCATGGGTAGAATTTCAGAAGAAAACAGAACATAATTATTACTGATTCACTATCCTCATGTTGCTTATTGAATGTGGTGATGGGTGGTGCTGATAGTATGCAAACATACAGTAATAAGATGTGTAAGAATAGCTCTAATTTCCCTAAAAATGGAATAATTCTGGCATTACATAATCAAAATAAAATACGGCTTGTGATTAAATTATCTAGACTATTATGTATAGAACTCTTAATCCCCTTTAACAAAACTTAAAAAAAATTTCACATGTATTATAAAAGTCTAAAAATGCAACTGCATATGAAATTTATGAAATCCTATACTTTTAAGAATGGAAAGAGCAGTGAAGTGGCAAATCCTATATTTTATTCTCTCTCCTTGTGTGCTGCTTATTCAAGTAGATACATGTTTTATTCTTTAATAAATAAACACCTACATGCAACAGAAATAAATGTTTTAATCTTACTATCAAATGGCTTTTTCATCCTTGTTTTCTCCCTCCCATTTTTCCTTTATCTTCAACTATATTTTTATAATTTGAATCACAAATATGTATGTTTTCAGATACTGTCAGGTATAGGATAACTGACAGCAGAAATAAGAAAAGCCATAGCTTATATGGCTCTCTAGAGCTTGTTAGTATAAAAATATAATAATAATGCATATTTTGTCCGCCTATTCCCTGGCATGTTTTTGTTACAAATAAATAAATTAAGATGGGAGTGTGATTTATTTGAGCAAATATGTGGTGTCAAATATATTCTAGGGAAAAAATAATGATCAGTCAAATTCCATTATTCTTAAGAAACCAAAATCCAAAATAAAAATGAAAGTAAACTATAAGTAACTGTATTTTGCTTACATTCAACCTAATTATGTGTTTACCATGGATATAGTTTTAGAAACTAAAATTCACAAATTTATTTTATGAAGGCAGAAAGCTACTGATGTACTCAGGGTTGGAGAAGGTTTTGCTTTTTTAGGTTTGGCCTATTCATATACAGTGCTTCCTAAGCAAGTCAAGAGCAATAATTATGAAACATGAAAATAAACATTTAATTGCTTATAGTAATACATAATTGCAAGCACAAGATATAAATATTCTGTTTCTATGTTCCAGATTTATACAGAGACCTAATAAAGTACATAAAATAAAAAGCTAAAGACATACCTTTGAATTATGATAGAATAATGAAGAATAGTGGAAATCTACAACTGTGGGACAGATAGAGAAGGCAAATAAGATATTTCTAGAAAATCAGACTACTTTTTTAAAATTGAAATTTTGTTGTATGAGAACCACCAAGTACCAAACATCCAAAGTTATATAATTTTTATCAAATCAAACCAAAAAGTAAATAATTGAGTATCTATTATATGAAAAGCCTGTATTAGTTGATTACTTAGAATGAATTTCTTCCCTTCATGATTTATTCCCCAACAATCAGACATCTGCATGGCCATACAATTAAGATTTTAAAAGAGCTATAAGAAAATGGTAATAAACAATTATGAGAGAATAAGAGAAAAATCAATTTTAATTCAGATTCTATGGTTATATCTGGAATCACAGCCAATACAACTTTCAGCCAAACAATGAAAGATACCAAGTACTAGGATGAGTGTGCTTTCTTCTGTGAATAAAAAGGAAACAAAGATTTATTTAGGTTTGTGATATGAAAAGTGATCTACTTTTAATATGTCAATACAGAGGTCATGTGGAAAATGAACTAGAGAAGAGAATGACAAGATGCAGAAAGACAGAGTAGAAAGTATACAGTTAATTCAGGAGATGGTTGGGCCAAAACTGAAGCAATTGAATTAGGTGTAGAAAATAGGAAAATAATAGAAGTTTCCCATGGATCTAGCCATATTCCTTTATTCTTCTTCTGTATATGCAACTTGATCATTTCACAAATACTACTGAGGCACTTTCTTCCATGAATGTTGATGACCCTGAAAATGATATATCTATTATAAGCCACATTTCAATTCCAGACCCAACTGTATGTTGGGAAGTTATACCTAAGAAAACACTCTAGGTGGCAAAAATTTATGTTTCTTGCCGAATCTTATCGCTCCTCACATTTGCATTTCTATTCTTCGTACTGAAATAAAAGTAACTTTTCTCTGTATAATCATCTACTTAAAGTAGTAATTAAATTAGGTGTGGAAAAGTCATCTATTAACCAATCAGAAACTTAATACCACAAATGACTGCTTTTTCATCTTTGCATCTTTAAAAACAATCATTAGTGTTAATATTTAGGAAGGATTCACAGAGGAAAAAAATAAGAGTCATCTTCAAGTCAACTCCTTAGCAAATGTAAACAATCATGATTTTGACTAAATAGTCTGATCCAAAATATTTTACACCTCTTTTTCATAACTGAGTTTTTTTTTGCAAAATATGCTGCTAGAATTTCTAGCCACTAATAGGTAGTGAAGCAATCTTGATAAGAAAGAGAAAAAAGACAAAAGTAAAGATGCAAAGGAATAATTATTAGTATAAAAGAGAAGAGCCCACAGCACATTTGCCACTATTGATTCTTGTTTTAGGAGCACACATATATTAATTTAATTTAAAAATGATGTTAAATATTATAAAGAATACAGGTTTCACTTGGAGAGGCACTCTACAAAAGTCTCTAAGACAGCATATAGAAGATTATTCTTACTTGTTAGTTTCTGCTTCACTGAAGCTAAACACAGAAATGTGGTCTGACAGTCAAAATATATTACAAAAACATCACATCTTTGTTATTATGAGCCGTAAACAAACAAAGAAACAAATTAGAGTATATCCATTATACCAATGTTTTCTGTTATTAACAAGCATTACACACTATTAAATGAGCTTTTATGTATTAAGAAAATAGATCTAAATTTTATCATAACTTTTATAAATAATATATTTCTAAATGCATATCAGAGTCAAATATAAGAAAGCTAGAAAAAACATTTTTCAATATTAAAAATAATGATATACTTATCCGATTCTAAAACCGCATTTCAGCATTTCTAAAATCAGTGTACATTTTGAATAGATTTTTCTACTTTGAATACAGGACTGTATATTCTTTGTTAGATACTTTTTAATTGATAGTTCATCTTACAATGAGTGGTATCTTAAAATTTATAAAATACAAAATAATAAATTTCCTAAATATATCTTGACTTTTAAACAATGTATTCATCAAAGGTTTCTATTATTTTATGCATGCACTTCCTTTATTATTTTCTTTAACTATGAAATACCAACTAGTTTAAGACAAGGAATTTTAAGATTTATCGCCTGAAGCATGATAATAATTTGTAACTTTGCCTCAAAGGAATTAAATTTATGAGATGTAAGTTTTATATCAGTTTCCCATTTCCACTCATTTGATAAGTAATAACATAAAATGCAATAGAATATTCAAATAATTTCACAAATGCTGCTGTACAAAGAAGGTAGCAGGCAGCAGTACCATTTGATGACGCAAAATGATCATTCATTGGCTGGAATATCACAGTCAGAATTTGGTGTAAAAATAATAGATTAAGAGTGCCGATGCTTAGTCTATGGAAGTTTTGGCTCTATAACATTTAGCATATTGAAATGAATGTCAATACATAAGATATTATTCCAATTTAACATTTAGCTCTTTTTTAAGTGCCATGTGCTAATATGTTACTGTTTTTGACATACATGGAACTCTGTGATTGGAGATTATTAGAGGCAAGTATACATAGAAAATATTTTTTAAATGGTACAGCAGGGACACCATATAGATGCCAGCTACTGTGCATGCCAGCTAATCATCAACCTTGATAATGAGAAATAAATGGCTGCCTCATTACTACTACGGGAACTAATGGCATCCAATATATATATAAATGTATAGAACTGTGTATATATATACACACACACACAGAGACACACTTCTTTTCCTCAGTAATTAATCCATGCTTACTATGTGAATTTATGCATAATATTTTAAAGTTGTGTAGTGAGATTAATTATAGTTTCTGTATAACAGCTATAGAGGAAAACAAATACTGAGGAATTTTGCAACATGCTTTATGTCATAATTGTCTAAAACCAAGGCAGACATTGCAACTTAATGCTTTAAATTCAGGTCAAGTGTACTTTTCACCTCTCTAAAAAAAGCAGTAGTTTAGTAGCAGCAGTTTGCTTAGAATTATACACACTTTAGATTTCTATAATATAAAATTCAGCAATACATGCAAAACCATATTGATATGGTTTGGCTCCGTGTTCCCATCCAAATCTCACCTTGAACTCTAATAATCCCCACTTGTCAAGGGCAGGGTCGGTGGAAATAACTGAATCATGGGGGCAGTTTCCCCCATGCTGTTCTCATGATAGTGAGTGAGTTCTCGGGAGATCTGATGGTTTTATAAGACGCAACCCCCTTCCCTCCACACTCATTCTCTTTCCTGCCGCCTGGTGAAGAGTTGCCTTCCGTCATGATTGTAAGTTTCCTGAGGCCTCCCCAGCCATGTGAAACTGTGAATCAACTAAACCTCTTTTCTTTATAAGTTACCCGGTCTCAGGTATGTCTTTATTAGCAGCATGAGGACAAACTAATATACATACACTTACTAAGTGTATTCATGTAAAAAAATATGGGAGTGCAGTAGTTAATTATTCAGGTCTAAAGTTAGATTGCCTTGGTTTAAGTTTTCTCAGTGCTAATCATTATCTAGTGCATGATCTTGGTTAAATCCCTACACCTATCAAAGTCTCAGTTTTCTCATGTACAAATTGGTACAGTTATCCCTACCTCATAGAACTGTTACTAAAAGCAAGAGAGATAATAAATAGCACTTACTAGAAGGTCTGTTACATAAGAAATGCTCAGGCCGGGCGCGGTGGCTCATGCCTGTAATCCCAGCACTTTGGGAGGCCAAGGCAGGTGGAATAACCTGAGGTCAGGAGTTCAAGACCAGCCTGGCCAACATGGTGAAATCCGTCTCTACTAAAAATACAAAAATTAGCTAGGTGTGGTGGCAGGCACCTGTAATCCCAGCTACTCAGGAAGCCAAGGCAGGAGAATCGCTTGAAATAGGGAGGTGGAAGTTGAAGTGAGCCGAGATCTTGCCATTGCACTCCAGCCTGGGTGACAGAGTGAGACTCCATCTCAAAAAAAAGAGAAATGCTCAGAAATTGTTATCTGTTATGGATTGTTATCACCTGTAAAAATAGAAGACTTATACGAATACTGAAATACAGATTCTGAAATTATGAAACTGTAATTACTGACTTGTAATCTTGGCCCTGACATTTATTAACAGTATAAATTTCAGCAATTATTTTACTTCTGTAAACGTTGGTCTGCTTTTTTCTAAAATAGACACAATGATGTTTGTCTTGCAACTATACAGAGTTATTTTGAATGTCAAATGAGTCCAGAATGATGACAGTATATGCAACCTCTATAGTTCTGCAAGATACAAAATGAAAAACATAAACTTGGAAAACTGGAGAGTCATAGAAGGAATAGAGAACTTCCAAATCACCTAAAATAATAATGTAAGAGTAAATTTTAGGAACCAATAAACTTCATAAAATCTTTACCCAGCTTTTCTAACTGAAAATATATTTCATTAACCCTAAAACTAAAAGGAAAAGGTTAAAAAAATTCCAGTAAAACAAAATTAAGCCAAGAATATATACAACTTGCAAAGTAAACAAAACACAATTTTACTTGTGTGTCCCCAGCACCCTCATTCCACTTATTAACATTTTTTCAATGTGAATAATTTTTATCTGCCCCTGGATAAAAATTTTGGTGTACCTGTGTCTTTTCCTTTATCCTTAGGAATAACAGGTCCTATGATAATTTACATTTCACACAATTTCAATTGTGAAGTTAGAATGAACAATGACAAATATAAGTTAAAACACAGAATCTGACTTCCAGTTAAAATTTTTCCCCTTTGAAAAGGAGACCTTTTCAAGTTTGCTCCACCTAGAATGGGGAAATGGTCATTCTTTATATCTTTCCTCTTTCACTCTTTCCTCGGTGGTTTTTTGTTATCATTTTGTTGACTCTCAACTCCAAGTCAGTGGAAGAAGAAGGTGCTATAAGTTCAGGACAGTTCTTGCTTATCTGAATAGTTTGGCCATTTCTGTGCTTGGCAGATGAATAAAGCTACACTTTCTCCTGGGTGGAGCCTACTAGACAATTCTTTCCCAAACTCTCTTGACCAGGAAGGTTGCACTCCCATCCTGGTGGTCATTTACAAATCCTTCTATACCTTCTGTGTATTCAGCAATTTATACGCAGATTCCTTCAAGAGAGGACTCCTTGTCCCTCTGGAGTCCTAGGAAATAAAAGCCAAGACAACCCCAAGCCAAGAGGTAACCTCACCAGTTACTTCTCTCTTCTCTCTCTCTCTTTCTGGTTTCAAATCTGGCCTGTGCAAAACACTTACTCATCTGTTACCAAGGTAAGCTAATAGAGATGGACTCTAAGATGTGACCACACTCCTTACTTCTGCTACTAAAGCCAGTCCTATGAATTTCGTGAATCAAATCATTCTCCGGTTTACATTCTGCTTCAGCCATCTTATTTTTATCAAGCCCAAATTTTTCATCTCTTCCAATTGCAGCAGGCAGGTCAAAGTTTCCAAGTAGTTCCATTGCCTATCGGCAAGAAGGTAGCGCCATTCTTCCATGCCACTCTGGGACTCCTCTCTGCCAATAAATCTCCTCCATATTCCAGCCACTCCTCTTACAGAACCCTAAGCTAGCTAAAGTTTCTTAAACCATTTCCTCTTAATTTACATGGGAACATTTTTCTTACACTCCATTCTAATATCTGCTGTTGTACAGCTGAACTTGAGACAGGAAAGAGCCATTCTAACATCCTATTACCTGTGGATAAACCTGCTTGCCACATACAGAGAGAAGCTTGCAGGTGCTGAAGCGTCTCTTCAATATGAAAGCATATGCCATAAGCATAGTTCAGCCCAGGTTTCTAACAAAGAATTTCTCCCGTGGAAAGCATGATATGGTATCACAGCAAATCAGCTAAGGAGAGGAGATTGACAGAAGAAGTAATTTCCTCATAGATGAAATAAGGTTCCAAAAGGAAAAAAATCAGTAGAGGTTTACTGAGTGGAAGGCAGAGAATACATTACATAATTTATTCATAAGCCAAATTTGTATGACATAAGTTTGTCTGTGTGCAAACCATTAGACCAATCCTGTAACTACACACGTACCTGTATTGACTATCATTGCACTCTCTGCTGGATCCAGCACACACAGAAAGCAACCAAACACACTCCTAAATTTTGCCAGAGTTTTCTCAAAGACAATCTCAACTGTCTCCTCTGGGACTAGATTTTATGTCCCAAGTGCCACACCAGTCCCTGGGCTTTCACTTTTACTTTTAACTGCTTAGTCCAATAGTCATTCCCTGACCAAGTGAGAGATTAAAAATAAATATGGCAAACGAGGAATGAATATTAGGGATCAATCTTGCAATGGGAACTACTCCTAGAAGCTCTCTTTTTCTTAATAAAATATCAGTATGCCATTAAAATTTATTTCCAGCTTTGAATTAGCCAATACAAAAGCAATCAATTCAGTCTTCACAAAGTGAGGGACTTCAACCACTCTTCAATTTGGCCTCCTTTTGATGCTGGCAAAACATCAATCAGTCAATCGATACAGAAAGTAAGAGAGCATAAAAGCCCAGCAGAAACAATAACTAACACACATTTGTTTGGGATTTTTATTTGTTTGATTATTTGCCTGTTCATTGTATATTTGCTTGTTTCTGAAATAAAGGGTAATGTAACTGTTTCTTAATAAGAAGCAAGATACAAATGAAAGAAGATATTCACACAACCAACACAAAGACTAAAACAAGAATTAAGGTGCAATCATGTAGAACAAGGCAACAGAAGATGGAGTAAACCAGGACAAAACAAATAAAGAACATCAGGAACCAAATGTGAAATCTGACTCCAAAGATACATGCAACTAGAGAGTGATATTAATCTTTGTGTGTGTGCGTGTGTTTATTTGTTTGTTTTTTGAGACAGAGTTTCACTCGTCACCCAGGCTGGAGTACAGTGACACAATCTCAGCTCACTGCAACCTCCGCCTCCCGAGTTCAAACTATTCTCCTGCTTCAACCTCCTGAAGTAGCTGGAATTACAGGCACCCACCACCACGCCTGGCTAATTTTTGTATTTTTAGTAGAGACAGGATTTCATCCTGTTGGCTAGGCTGGTCTTGAACTCCTGACCTCAGGTGATCCACTCGCCTCGGACTCCCAAAGTGCTGAGGTTACAGGCATGAGCCATCACACCCAACCAAGAGTGATATTAATCTTTACTAAGAAAACAAAGTAGACAGAAGCACCACATTATTTAATTGTCTAACTGAATGTATGTCTTAATCATTTGCTAAAATTGTGTCATTTTACGAAAGTATTATCGGTAATTCTATCCAAGGAATTATTTCCTTCTTATGGCAACCTTGATTAAAGCAAGCAAACAAAACATCATGATATAGAAATTCCTAACCATCTGTAGAGACCCTTCATGATCCAAGAAAGGGAGGGATTAGTTTCACCAGCTAACAAAAGTAGCTTAGCCTTACCCACACATGCCCTCAATCACAAGTTAAACTCTTTCTTTACTTTAAAAATATTTTTGCTGAAATATTATTGTTTTTGCAGGTGTGAAATAGCAAACAGCTGTGAAAAAATAATTGCATTCCTTTCAAAGTTTCAGACTTACTCTTGGCTTTGATCTTAAATGATCAAATCCTTGAAGAGGACATGTGCAAATATTTTAAACCTAATTTATAATATCCAGTTTCTAGTTGAGAGAAGAGGAAATTAATAAATAACATTCTACAAAATTATTTTATAGTTTTCAAAATTAATAAAATAGCCAGACAATCTTTGTTGTAACTATTTTAACAAGGCAGGAGGGTATTACAATGGGCTCATTTTGATTATTAAATCTTATAAAAACTTTAGATCTCGTTTCTGTTCTCAGAAGATAGGATTATTTTTTCTTTTCTACATCATTTGGTTTGTTTATTCATATTATCTGGGTTCTTTTAAAATGAAGGTGAAAGTGGCCAAGTCATTCTGGTTAGCACAGGTGATAAAATAGTATTCTAAGTGAAATATTATTTATTACCAAATGAAAAGAAATAAGAGACCAGGAGAGCATTTCAACAGGTCTCATGAAAAATTCAAACGTCTTTCAGGGTACAAGGGTAACTTTTCCATTACTCTTACTCAGCACATCTATTTTGATTCCTTTCTCCCTGGTCTCTTCCTATTAAAGATTACTTTCACATATTCCAAACACAAAACACAAACCTCCACTGATTGTCTCCCTTAGTAATTTCCCAATTTCATGCATATTTGTTGGATATTATTTTCGGACCTCGCAGCTGGCTCATTTATAGATAATTGCCTGTGGTTCATTTGTCCTGATCTCTTATCCAATAAACTATAAGCCTGAGATGTGGAATTCAGAGAAGGCAGAGTAACCAATATACGAGGAATCGTCCACAGCTGATTTGCCATCGCATGTGTCTTATTCTGGTCTTAAGACCTCTACGGTCTTCCAGTTAGAAACAGTCACTGATCAAATAATCTGCTGCAGTTCCTATGCTGCAAGAATGGAATACTTTTAGAAACAAATACATAAATCCTGTTTTCAAAGAACTCCTGAGGACAGAGGAAAAGATACTTAGAGGAAAGATAAGAAATACACTGGGTAGAGGGGAAATGCTGATAAACATACATGTATAAGGTTAAAAAAAAAAGGTAATGAACTTGTGAAAATTGCGTAGAGAGCAAGATGGGGAGGAACTGTCCAAGGACTCACAGAGGTGATAATACTTAGAAAAACTGAGGTATGGATAGGGATGAGGGCTTGTGGGTGGCGTGATGAAAGTTATCTCAGAAATAATGAATTCAAGAAAATTCACAAGGCTTCAGTGGCTAGCAAGTAGACTATGGATGAAGAAATTGTGGAAGATGAATCTGAAAATAAATGTGGATAGAATTGAGAAGTTGAAGGACCTTGCGTACCACATGAAGGACTCTCAGTTTTTATCTTATAGAAATGGACAGTATCATGATTTTATGCAGAGATGCTATATTATTAAATGCATAGATTGATTTGACTTCAATAACCACCTTCTTAAATCTAAACACTTGGTCTCGTTAATTGCTATGCTCTGCACTGCCCCTACACATGGGGGCATCTTACATCTGAGCCTTTATTTCAGCAGTTTGCTTGCCTGAAATGCCCACACCATTACTTTCTTTCAAACCAAGTCCTTTAATTATTTTCAAATCCATGTCAGTGACATGCCTTAAATGTCACCTTCTCAGCTTTCTTTCTCTGTGGCCAACTTATTTTTTTCTATTACATAATTTATATAAAACTTTTTAAGAATATTATTGATACTTGTACCTTGCAACATTGGGTGTTCAAATAATTACATAGAATATGATTGTTTAACTTTTATATGTGTCTAGAACAGCTCTAAATTTCATCAGCATCTTTAGTGGAAAAACTGCAGCACGCTTTGAATTTTTTCTTTAGATTGTGTTTTTTTTTAAATAAAATAATCACGATTGATTCTCTAAAAGACAATCAGGTTGAGAAACTATTATGTAAGATTTTTTTCTGTATGTAAATTCACACAAAAACAAAATTTTTTTTTGTCATACTACATATTTTGATTTTTGAAAGAGAGAAAAAAAAAACCTACAAAGAAGGAAAACAATTAGGAAAAATGAGCAGTTCACAAAGAGAAAAAACTAAATATTCAATAAGTATGTAAAAATATACTCAAGCACATTTGTAATGAGGAAAATAAATATTAAAACTACAAGAAGACATCATTACACACTCAGCAAATTGCTTGCTTTTATGCAGCCTAGTGGGATTGCAACTGGTAAAATCACTTTATGGAGCAATTTGGCCATACTCAGAAGTTTTGAGTGTGCTCTTAGTCTACACCCAATAATTCTTTCACATGTGCATGAGAAGACATGTACACAATATTTATTGAAATGTTTTTTGTAATATTTGTAAACAACCTAAATATCTTACCACACAAGAGATCTGAAACTATGGTATACTCATAAAATAGAATATTTTATGACAATTAAAATGAATTTAATTATTTGCAATTGTAATATTTTATGACTATTTAAATGATACATGTATCAACAGGAATAAACCAGATCTCAGAAGTTAAAGTTGCACAAACAGGAAAGTAGCTCAATAATATAATCAAATGGAGATCATTTATAAAAGTTCAAAAACATGTAAGACAATATTAAATATTACTTACACATGCAAATTAATTATCATTGGGGGGAAGACTACCAAATTCATAATTATTAGTACCTATTAGGGGAGATGGAGGAAAGAACAGAGGCAAATGAAATTGAAGAAAAATAAACAGGGGAATAGGCTCAAGCTGATCTGTATTGTTTTATGTCTTTAACAAAATGTTCTGCTGGGTGTGGTGGCTCACACCTGTAATCTCAGCACTTTGGGAAGCCGAGGAGGGCAAATCACCTGAGGTCGGGAGATCGAGACCAGCATGACCAACATTTTGTCTCTACTAAAAATACAAAATTAGTCAGGTGTGGTGGCACATGCCAGTAATCCCAGCTACTAGGGAGGCTGAGGCAGGAGAATCGCTTGAATCTGGGAGGCAGAGGTTGCAGTGAGCTGAGATCATGCCATTGCACTCCAGTTTGGGCAACAAGAGCAAAACTCCGTCTCAAAAAAAAAAGTTGAAAAGTAAATGTGACCAAAAAAAATTATGATGTGAGGAAAAATTTAGGAGTTAGTATGTGATTTTGTGTCTTATTATGCATATATTTGTACACATTTGGAATATTGTATTATAAATGTTGGTAATAAATTTATCATTTTTTGTATAAAATATGAATTTTCTTATTCAATGACTGATATGGTCAGCAAATATCTTTCTTTGAAAGTGTCTTTTTAAAAAATCACAATATATTTCACATCTCAGCTAAAATGTAAATGTATAAATTTATAGTAATTCAACTCTCCTTGCTAATTTGTTTTCTTCTATGTTAAAAGTCATGAAAAAGAGATACCTACAGGAGTGTATAAACAGAAAATAAAAAATCAGTTTTGTTGCAATATCTACAATTATTGATCCAAGAAGTTTAAGTTGCATTGGCAGATGAAGCCTCAAGAAGGTGAGGTTAGAAGTATTCAAAGATTTATTAATTTTCTTATTTACAGCAGGGAGCGTATTAAAATCGAGGGGTTCTAAGCTCAAATATTTGATCAGTCCTTCCCACTATAAACACTTACCTTCATTGTTTTTGCCTAAGCATCACATATAAGATTTCTACCATCGGTTTCATTTACTTGCCAACCAGATGGCCAGGTTGGGTCAAAGCATGGAAAAGAAAATGTCCATGGAGTTAAAATGTTTGAAGTTAGTTAGCATGCTATAATAAAGTTGGAATGAAATACTTGAGCATTTCTAATGTCACTAAATCTGCCTAAGATTTTTTTTCTTTTCTTTTTTTTTTTTTTTGAGACAGAATCTTGCTCTGTTGCCCAGGCTGGAGTGCAGTGGAGTGATCTTGGCTCATTGCAACCTCCGTCTCCCAGGTTGAAGCAATTCTCGTGCCTCAGCCTCCCCAGTAGCTGGAACTACAGGTGCACGCCACCACGCCCGGCTAATTTTTGTATTTTTAGTAGAGATGGGGTTTCATCATGTTGGCCAGGCTGGCCTCGAACTCCTGATTTTAAGTGATCTGCCTGCTTTGGCCTCCCAATATGCTAGGATTACAGGCATGAGCCACTACGCCCAGCTTAAGACATTTCAGTGTATAAAAATCATCTTGAAAATTAACATTGTGTAAGAGATACTCAAATGGATCTATAAAATAAAATCAAAGAATGGTATTATGTTTTAAAGCATGCAACAAGTTGTAACATTAGCTAGTTAGAATTCAAATAGATTTTATTTATCAATTTTAAAACATTTGAGGATTTTTGGGTGGACAGAGTCTTCTGAGAAAAGGAGCACTCTGTGAAAATAACTAACTTCGTACACAGAAAACTGTATATTTTCTCAATATAAAAAAACACAACAAGACTACACTTCATACCAATCACTTTAGCATACATGTTGAATATTTGATACAATTTTGAGTCTTATTAGTAGGAGTTGGGCTTGGATCCTTGAGGAAAAAAAAATGTTGACTCTCTTTACCACTTGGATAATCTTTTTCAAATCTACATATTTTGAACTCATTTATAATCATAGCATGGATAAAGTAATAAGTAATTGAAATAAAATTTAGTTCCATTAGTTTCCAAATGTCTTTCTGAACATTAGGGTAAAAATATATGTAGCAAGCTTAAGTTTATTTTTAAACTTGATTATGCCCTTTGCAGTAGTTTAATCAGAGCACAGATAAATCTAATAAGGTATTTTTAATTTTCTTCATAGACATTTAATTACACAATAATTAATATGTTCAATATCAAGATTTGGACCTTAATGAAAATTAAATTTGAAATTGTTTCGATGGAAGATTTCAACATATAGAATATATTCTATAATACATATATGAAGGTTTTTGTGAAGTTTTCATCTAGAAAATCATCATTATTATTATTTTTGAAACAGGATCTCACTATGTTACCCAACGCTGGACTCAAATCCTGGGCCCAAGCCATCCTCCTGTCTCAGCCTTGGGAGTAGCTGGGACTACAGACCCATGCACCATGCCCAGCTTATTAGAAAATCATTACTTTGCATGGGGAAAATATGGATATTTCCCTGCCAAATCATTACCCTTTGAATAACAACTTCAAAAATATAAATTCAACAAAGCAGTTGCTTTGATGATATATTAGAGCTAATATAATATATAACGAAATGAGCCATATATAATAAACTTTTTAGGGTGCTTGTGTTTTATTATTTCTTCCAAGAAAATATTAAAGAAGGTGAAGAAAACTAATGGACCATTACAACATTAACTTTAGTCTGGGAAATATGTACAAAATAAAATAAGCAAAAAAAAAAAAAAAGAAAACACTATTTTGTCAGATTTCTCTGGCTTCTCTAGATAAAAGTTTTTCTGATTGGATGTTATTTACATTTAGATGAATAAGTGAATACACTTTCCTCTAGAATCAATTTAAATATAATACATAAAGTAACCTCTACATGCTAATTTCTGGATTTTAGGTAAGCTCAGTGGGTTAAAGTGTGGTGCTTGGCAAAACAGTTAACTTAATATTTCCATGACTGCATAATACATTCTCATGCATGAATAACTTAGCAAACATTTATTACTATTGCTGAAAAAAGGAAGAAAGTGTGCTATACTGTCAATTTTTACTAAGAAATATGTTACAAAAAAATAATATTTTGAAGGAAGATACTGGAAACACGTAGATGTGCAAGATGATAGATATTTAAAATTATTTTTATGGATAGCTTAAAAATTAGGAATATGGGAAAAGAAGAGGTTCCTTTTGTCAAATTCAAGTTAGAAGTACGTTTATTAAGTTATAGCAATAGCTCAGAGTCTATTGATTTTGGCAGTTGACAAGAAAAGTTGATTCATTCATTACTTCACTTAATACACATTATGAACACTTAATACAATTGTGTAGATAAAGTTTTAACATTGGGTTGCTTATCTTTTGGTAAAAAGCAGATACAAACACAGTTTGCCCCAAACATTGCTTAGAGGAGGCACAAAGTTCAGTCATGAAGAAAAGAATTCCTGCAGAAACTTATCTGAAGTTGTGACCTGAAACATTAACGGGAATAGCCAACCAAAGATATGGGAGGCTCTGTGTGTGTGTGTGTGTGTGTGTGTGTGTGCATGTAAGAGACGGAGAAAAAGAGAGAGAGAAAGAGAATGAGAGAGAGACAAAGATAGAGAGGAAAAACAGGGACAGAGAAAGAGGTGGCTTCATCTACTAGTTAAAAAGAGTGAGCTATTTTCATATTGCTAAAGCATAGAATCATAGAGTAAGGTGAAAGCTACTGCAAGGGTCTGTGAATCCATATGGATATGTGCATGGACTACCTGTAGAACAAATAATATGTTTTGGATCTCATATTTTTCAAATGAATGTAATGAAATGCAAATGTATTCAAAATTATTGCTGGATTCCTATTAGATTTATCATTTTTCCCCAAATGAACACTGAAAGGTCAATGGCTGTAAAGAAGTGGTACACATAATTGTGAAATTAAGATTCTCTGTGTTGAAATGTGCAGAATCCCTAGCTAATAACATCAATATCTAATTCCATACATTTAAAAATGCATCAAAGTGTCAGTAGCTATTTGTCTGAGTCTATTCAGACTGTTAACCACAAAAATACTACAGATTGGGTGGCTTATAAACAACAGAAATTTATTTCTCACAGTTCTCGAGACTAGGATGTCTGAGAGATTAGTAGGCCCACAGATGTGGTGTTTGGTGACAGTGTTTCCTGGCTCATAGATGGCTGTCTTTAGGTTGTGTCTTCACATGGCAAAAGGGGTGAGGGCCTCTTTTATAGCAGCACTAATCCCATTATAAGAGCTTCACATTTATGAAATAATCATCCTCCAAAACTCATGTTCTTCTCACAGGTAAAATACATTTACTACATCCCCAAAGCCCAGAAAGTTTTAACTCATTCCAGCATCAACTAAAAAGTCTAATGTCTCATCGAAATATCTCTAAATTAGCTATGAGTGAGACTCAAGGTATGATTTATTCGGAGGCAAACTGCTCTCCAGCTCTGAACATGTGAAATCAAAGAGAATTCAATGGTGGAATCAGCATAGGATAGATATTTCCATTCTGAAAGAGAAAAATAAGAAAAAAACAAAGGATTAATAGGTTTTGAACAAGTCCAAAACCCAATGGAGCAAACCCCATTAGTCCTTAAGGCTTAGAATAATCTTTGGCTCCATGCTCTGTCTTCCAGGACCACTGAGGCAGAGGTCCCTACCCGAACACATTGGGGAAGGGGACCTGCCTTGAGAACTTAATTGGGCAGTAGTCCTCCTACTGCAGCTTTGTCAGGCAAAAGTTGAGTCCCCAAGGCCCCAGGCTGCCTTGGTGCCATGGTAGCTCTTTGGTGGGGACCCATCCTCACTGATCCACAGGAAATTGTTCCTTTCCTTTGAAATATAAGTTGAGGCAGCCATGCCCCTAGGCTTCTCTAGGTATGTATGGTAAGTGGAGATGGTGCTGTACAAACTCTACCAAAGTTATGCCCTCTAGAAAGGCAGCCACTGCACCCTGCCACAGCTGCACCTGAAACAGCCAGAGAGTGTGGGGAGCTAAACCCTTTATGTGAAGTTATACCAGGCAGTTTATGCCAAGACTCAACGGGCACGAGCCCTTCCTTTGCATTCTTCCATTGAACAATAGCTCTTGTCTTCTGTTGGGAAGGCTGACTAAGCTCCTTGCCAAATACTCCTTCAGCCATAGCCTTAGTGTTTTCTCTTGAACAGGTGTTATCCTTTACATTATGGATAGGCTAATAGTTTTGCCAAGCCTTTAAGTTTTGATGCCCTTTTAATTGACAATTCCGTCTTAAAATCATGTACCTCTTCTAACATTTTACTATAATCAGCAGTGAGAAGTCGCCTTAGTTTGTTTGGGATGGTACAACAAAATACCATAGACTGGTTAATTTACAAACAACAGAAATTTATTGCTCACAGTTCTGGAGGCTGCAAAGGCCAAAGCATCCACAGATTTCGTGTCTAGTGAGGGTTTGTTCTCTGTTTCAAGACAGCTCTTTCTTGTTGCATCCTCACATGGCAGAAGTAGAGGAAGCCTCAAATCTTTTTTAATAAGAAACTGATTCTATTTATGAGGATGGGGCCAATGACACCCAATCACCTCCTAAAGTCACCATGTTTTAATATCACCACAATGTGAATTAGATGTGAACAAGAATTTTGGAAGGACACAAATCTTCAGACCATAGCAGAAGCCAAGCTTCATCTTTAACATTTTGTTTAGATATTTTCTCAGCTAACTATCCAGTTTCATTGCTCTCAATTTCTACCTTTCACAAACACTAGGACACAGACACAATTCAACCAATTTATTTGCCACTTTATCATAAAGGTCCAGCTTCCAATGACAACTTCCTCATTTCTGTCTGAGACCTCCTATGGCTGAACTTTTCAATTCAAAATTCTACCAACACTCTGTTCAAAATTACTAAGGTATTCTCAAAGATTGAGGATTTTTCTACAGATTTCCACTTTTCCCCCTAAGCATTCATGAGAATTGCCTTTAAAAACTGTTCACAGCAATGTAGACTTTTTGTAGTATGTACCTCAAATTCTTTCAGCCTCTATCCATCACTCAGTTACAATGCCATCCCCACATTTTTGGGTATTTGTTATAGCCACATCCCATTCCCAGAACTAATTTCTCATATTTTCTCTTTTCAGACCCTTAAACAAAACACATAGAATAGATGTATTAGTTCGTTTTCACACTTCTGATAAAGATGTACTCGAGACTGAGCAATTTACAAATGAAAGAGGTTTAATGGACTCACAGTTCCACTTGGCTGGGGTGGCCTCACAATCACGGCAGAAGGTGAAAGGCACGTCTCACATGGTGGTGGCAAGAGAGAATGAGAGCCAAGCAAAAGGGGATTCCCCTTATAAAACCATCAGCTCTCGTGAGACTTATTCACTACCACAAGAACAGTATGGGGGAGCTGCCCCCATGATTCAATGATCTCCCACTGAGTCCCTCCCACAACACGAGGGAATTATGGGAGCTACAATTCAAGATGAGATTTGGGTGGTAACACAGTCAAACCATATCAATGCATGATTGAGAATCTTTCTCTGTTGAAAATATGAAGAATCTCTGGCAAATCCACAAATTGTTTAGAAAAAAATTAACAGACTAATCTCTGGTGGCTGGAGAAAGGAAAGAACACATTTGCTTCAGGTAATTTCAGGTTTTCTAACTGGAGCACTTTGTTCTATAAAATTAGGCCTAGTTTTAAGAAAGATTCTCGCCTGCATTGTTGCCAAATTTTATTTTTTGTTAACAAAAAAGAAAAAAGTTCAAATGTGACAATTCCATGAATATGAGGAAAGCTGCAGGAGTATAGTGCCATGACAAATCCATCTATAGTAGAACCATTGGAAGGCGAATTTCAGCATTTGGGACAGATAGTTACAAGATACAGAAATAGGGATGACAGTAAATAATACACTGCTATAGATGAGTTTCTTCAACAGTTTCTTTCCCTCATATTGTATTTTTATACTTTTCTTTGTCACTGGATGCCTTAGCCTCTGATTCACCATGTTTTGCCTGCTTTTTCCTATGGGCTACTTAGAGCCTTTTTCATGACAGTATCAAAATAAGTAGCTTCAAACAATGGCTTTGGAGAAGGGACGCTTCTCAGAGATTTATTTACATATTGTTATCATCTAAACCATTTTTAGTCAGACTGAAGAGAAAAAAAAGAGAATATCCTGAAAGAGCATGGCATTATTTTCCCTCAATGAGTTTCAGGTGAGCAGTTGTCAAAAATCCAAAGTTAAAAATTGAGAGTCTCAGAGTATGTTGAAAAGTACCTTATCAGTTGAGAAAGTAAGAACTAATTTGAAAACCACATGTGTAATCCAGGAAACACATTTAGTTGTAGAGCATCCTTGGTGACCTTACTCACTACACAATGTGCTAAAGTCAGAGGTTATAAAACACAAAATTGTGACTGACTGGCATGTGGAAATGTCTGCTGACCTCATTTTTGCAAGGTAACAAATGACCGTATATAATAGTCTCATTTTGACATATCTAGGCTCTCAGATTTGCTCAGTATCCAGCACATCTCTTGTGCTTATTGAAGCCAATAATAAGCAAAATCATCCCAGATGGAACCAAAGAAGCAGTACTAATCATTTGAGAAGTATATTCCCCACTTTGGTTTCTTTTTAATTTCTACCTTGTATGCAAAATCAGATTTATTTCAGGAAGTAACATGGATGTCAATTGCTCTGTGATCTGCAGTTTTTAAATTTGGAGAACATGGCAATACATTCATAGCCAAAGAAAAACAACTTAGTCTTTTATATCAAGTATTACAAATTGCCAATATTATATATTAGCCATATTCTTGACACCTTTTTATGAACTTCTCAGTTATTACAACAAGAATCAGAGGTTATTTCTCCATTAGAACCATAATTGTTTTAAACAAGAGTATGAAGGGGCCAGATAAAAAGGATGCCAGTCATTGTAATAAACCATATAATTAAAGGGATGGCTGTATCATGCTATATTCACTAGATGATTAACCCAGTTTGAGAACATAAATACTGATAAAATTCGAATAACTTTATTTAAATGTCTTTTTTTATTTTTTGAGATTACCAGGCTGGAATGCAGTAGCACGATCATAGCTCACTGTAGCCTCGAACTCCTAAGCTCAAGTTATTATCCCACCTCAACCTCCTGAGTAGCTAGGACTACATCTATGTACCACCATGCCCACCTAATCTTTATTTTTCTCCTTTAGATTTGGCAACTGCCTACATTGCCCAGGCTGGTCCCAAACTCCTGGCCTCAAGAAAACCTCCTGCCTCACCCTCCTGAGTCAGTGTCATATTTTAATAAGTGCAAAGAAAATGAATTCCATTGAAATTGGTTATAAATACACTCATAAAGTTAACTACTACTATCTTTCATCTTTTAGAAAAACAAAAAAAAAAAGATTTTTCATATCTGAGATCTAGGAGGTTAAGTATTTTTTAAATAATCTTGGGCTTTTTAAGGTCATTCTAGAGACTGTCTTTTTCCATCAATCAATGGAAAGTCTACACCTTCTCTGTCTCAACTGAATCCTCAGCATCTTGCAATGTTGAAGTCATAACAGTGGACTAGAGGCTGGAACAGCAGTGACATCAATCCTATTTTTTCTTCCAAAAACTTTCATTATTTTAAAGAAACAAAAAACAACTCAGGGTTAAAAGGTGGTCACACAGTCTCCGAAAATCTCAATGTTAATAGCAGAGTAGTTGTGGCAGACCTTCTATTAACTGTGTGCCATATAAGCATAAATACACAGGGGTGTTGATGTCAATAGGACTAAAGAGAACCAGATATTGTGATGTTGTAACATTGTCAAGTCAGGCAAGAACAAAGAAGTCAAACATAAAATGTTAAAGTAAAAGGTATATTCAGTTTTTCTCCTGTCACCACTCCAAATACTACTTTGCATTTATACAGGCCTTTCTACAGTATTTATGATGGCTTTATCACCATCATTAAGCACGACTATTAGACCTTTGTGACTTGAGTCCACCAACCTCATTTAACTTCTGAAACAGACTACTTTTAAAAACATTTTCACTGTTTTCATTTTGCTTCTCTGTTGAAGATGTTAGGAGGATGTATTAAGCAGCCATAAATAATAATGGGCAATTATGAATTAAAATAGCACACACAGAACAAATTATTCTCTTTACTGAACACTTAAAAGTAAGACCTAGGGCACTTTATTCCTGGTGTTGTATTATAAAATTCTATAACAAACCTCATGTTATGGTATAATATAGAACAAATAACTCAGTTTTATTCCCCTCATAAGATTCAGCAACTGATCAGTTTACCATAATGTAAAAATGTGACATCATTGCAACTGTATTGCCCTGAGTTTGGATTAAGAAAATTAACAGTAATGAAGATACTTTAAACAGAGTGATCTTTAGCTATGCTTATTTTGAAAGCCAATGTGAAATTATTTTTTTTGGGTTGGCTAGGATATCAAGTTTGGTGGTTCTAATTGCTTTACAAGATTATTTCTCATTTAGTTACTAAGAAGGGTTTGAAGAAGAAAATCTCACTTTGAATCTTACAGTCCTATATAAAGCAAAGTTCTAAAAAGAAAGAAGCATCCCAGCCATTGGCAGACAGACCTCCAATCTGAAAGTGTAGAAATATTACTTTATACCAGCTTTATTCCCTAAATTCTCCTCCCCTATCACTCTCCACATCAAAATCCATCTATCTAAATGTTTTCTAGACATCTGTGTGCAGGCATACAAACAATTGCAGACAAGTTTATGTATTTTTCATGACACGTTATTATTGAAATTTCAGGAAATTGAAACAGCTTTGGGAGATTTCTTGAAATTTAACATAACTTTCTTTCCTAAAATTTGACTCAAAAAAATGTATATGTCATCACACTCTCTAGTTTTACATGCTAGAAGGTATTGGTGCCATTTGTGAAAATTACAACTAACAAGAAAAGGGAAAGAGACAGAAATCTAAGAAATTATACATTTTTAATGTTGAGTTAAATATTGCATATACACATTATTATGATGTACACATTATTATGATGTATCAAATACATCATAAAAGTATAGAAACATGATTTAAATTAGTTATATACTGATAATTATGAATTTGATTGCCACAATTATATACGCTCTCTATATATTATATATTATATAATTATATATATTTATATATAATTATGTTATATATATTATAATATATATGTTATATATACATTATATATAATATATTATGTATTTATTATATATTATATATTTATTATATATATATTATATATAATATATAGAGAGAGTATATATATAATATATATAAATATATACAAAATCGTAAAATCATTTTCATTTTAGGCTTAGAGAAATTGTCATTGAGAATGGCAAAGTTATGTGGCTAAGGTCACAAAGCCTGTGTAAGCATTATTTCTCTCTTTTAATGCAAGAGAATGAAGGCTCAGAGAAGTAAGTGACTTCGATACAAGGTCACATAGATGTTAGAATTGAAATTAGAAGCCCTCATTCTACCACAGCATTCTGCTTCCAAGAAGATATAACTTTTATTTATTGAAAGCCAATTCTGAGTAAAACAATTTGGGGGAACTCTTACATTACCACTCATAATCACAAAGAGTTCTGCAACCCAGTGCTTTACCCTGTTTTTTTCTTTCACTATTTTTTATCTTTTCAAAGATGTAGAAAACTTATAATAACTTTCCCTAAGGTCAAACAGTTCAAGTTTCAGATTTAGATTCAATCTCTGGTTCTACCCGCTTCTAAACTCACTTGAAGCCTTCGTCAGCATTAGTGCCAGCCTCATTTATTTAGCAATCACTGTTGAATAGGCATTAGCATTATGCCCAAATATCCTGTAACAAAAATTCCTGTCTTAAAATTTTAAAGACTCACAAAACACATATCAGTGATCCATCCTTGTTGATTCTATACAGAAATGCATGTGGAAGTGGTTTGGCGAATGTTCTCATCACAGCCCTAGTGATGTTTCAGAGCAAAAGGGTCTGCTAAGTGTTTTGTGTTACTTTCTTACCCCAGGAACTAAATTTTTAAATATTTTTTCTACTTATGTGAGACCATCATTAATTAATCCTTGGGTAGACAACAACACATTTTTGTCTATGTAAGAAAACTACATTTAGAGATTAACCCAATAAATATAAATATATAAACAAAATAAATAAGAAAACAAAACAGTTAAACCTATTATGTAATTGCTTCAATGAGTAAATAATAGAATTCACTGTTTTTTGAATGCTGGGCACTGTTTTATTTACTTGTTTATTTTAAATTTTATTTTAAGTTCAGAGGTACATGTGCAGGATGTTCAGGTTTGTTACATAGGTAAACATATGTCATGGGGGATTGTTACACAGACTATTAAATCACTCAAGTAGTAAGCCGAGTATCCATTGGTTATTTTTCCTGATCCTCTTCTCCTCCCACCTTCCAACCTCCAATAGGCCCCAACGTGTGTTGTTTCCCTCTTTGTGTTCATGTGTTCTCATCATTTAGCTCCCACTTAGAAGTGAGAACATGCCATATTTGGTTTTCTGTTCCTGCATTAATTTGCCAAGGATCGTGGCATCCAGTTCCATCCATGTTCCTGCAAAGGCCATGATCTTGTTCTTTTTCATGGTGGCATATTACTCCCTGGTGTATATGTACCATGTTTTCTTTATGCAGCCAATCATTGATAGGCATTTAGGTTGATTCAAAGTCTTTGCTATTGTGAATAGTGCTGCAAAGAACATATGCCTGCATGTGTCTTTATAATAGAATGATTTGTATTCCTTTGAGTATATACCCAGTAATGGCAGTGCTGGGTTAAATGGTATTTCTGTCTTTAGGTCTTTGAGTAATCACCACACTGTCTTCCACAATGATTCAACTAATTTACACTTCCACCAACAATGTATGCAATTGTAACAAAAGCAAAAATTGATAAATGGAATCTAATTAAAGAGCTTCTGAACAGCTATCAACAGAGTAAACAGACCACCTACAGAATAAGGGAACAATTTTGCAAATTATGCATTGGGCAAAGTTCTAATATCCAGCACCTATAAGGAACTTAAACAAATTTACAAGAAAAAAAAATTAAACAGTGGGCAAAGGACATGAACAGACACTTCTCAAAAGAAGACATACATGCAGTCAACAATCATATGAAAAAAAGCTCCACATCACTGATCATTACAGAAATACAATTAAAAACCACAATCAGATACCATCTCACACCAGTCAGAATGCCTATTACTAAAAAATAAAAACATATGCTGGCAAGGTTGCAGAGAAAATGAATTGGTTCTTAATTGTTCTTATTATCCTCTCTGGTTTCAGGACTTTTACAAGAACAGAGGAGGCTCATAAGAGTCATCTCGAGGCACCTCAGATCTGAAAGTAAGTTTTCCTCATCCCAAATATAATTATTTTGTTAAATGCTAATTTTTTGAAATTATATTCCATACATTTTCTCTAGACCAAACTGTGTTATTCAAAATATTAAGCAGAAAGACAGTATTTACCAAACTTTTTTATAAATCAATTTATATAGTTTATAATAAATTGCCTCCATACTGTCATAGTCATATTTCAAAACATAAATGTTAATGATTTTCAGTTAGCAAATTGCTGATCAGGAGTTGGGAGGATTATTTTCTACATCTGACATCTTTCGTCTGAATTCTCTCTTCTAGCTCCTATTAAGTTGCCTTTATTTTCAGTGTGAATGACTGTATATATGAGGACTTTCTACAAAGGCAAATAGGCCTAAGGGTGAGAGAAACAATGGAGTTTAAGAAATTTGTAATCATTCAGATAATTTACTAAGAGTGGGATTTGAATTTTCATCTCTAGTGTCAGTCCTTTAGCGATGCTACTAAAATACACTAAATAGCAAGCATTACCAACATTGCACTCTAAGTCTGATCTTTCAAGTCAACAAAATTATGGTTCTGACTTCTGTTTTTAGAATGTGTGTTCCTACAGCTGTCCACAATTCCAAAAATATAGCCTTCTTTGGGAAACAATAACAATTACAAAGAACCTCTCAATTAAGTTTTTACAGTTAAGACAAGGGAGGGAAAGCATCTGCATATCATGACATAGGCATCTAAATATAAATTGTTAAATATTACTGTTATATCTTAATTAGCAATCATAATTATTGTTTAAATGTGTCCCTCTATTTAGTGTTGCAAAAACTACTATGTGAAACTGAGTGTGTGTTTCCATGTGTGTGTTTCCTTATGTGTAACAACATCATATCATCACGAACATACTTCTCAGTACTCTTTTGCTTACCAGTGGAGTATATTTTAGGCATTTTATGTGTCATCAATTATTCTGCCACAAACTATTTGATAGCATTCCATTGTATGTGTAAGTGACTGCTCCTACATGAAAATCATTTGAAAGGTTGCTTTCAAAATATAGTTTCTCCATATCCACCACCAGAAATGCTGACTCATTTAATTTGAGTAAATTAGGAAAATCTGTAGCTTTCTCAAGCTCCTGAGGTGATTTTGATGAACAGAGTCTTGGGAAATACTAGTTTAATTGTACCAATATGTGCTTTTTAAAGACTTTTTTAAAAAGCAGTTTTAGATTCACAGTAAAGTTGAGAGAAAGGTGCAGAGATTTCCCAAATGTCCCCTACCCTCACAAATACACAGCCCCTCTCATTATCAACATCCCCCAGTAGAGTGGCGTATTTGTTAAAATTGAGGAATCTACATTGACACCTCATAATTACCCCCAAATCTATAGTTTGCATTAGGGTTCATGCTTGTTGTTGTACATTTTATGAGTTTGGACAAATGTATAATGACCATCATAATAGTATACAAAGTAGCTTCCCTACTCTAAAAATCCTCTGAGCTCCACCTAGATATCCCTCCCTTCCTCCCTCAAACCCTGACTACTATTGGTGTTTTTGTTATTCTCATAGTTTTCCTTTTCCAGAATGTCATACAGTTTAGACCGTACAGTATGTAGCCTTTTCAGACTGGCTTCTTTCACTTAATAATATGCATTTAACTTCCTCCTTTTTTATTGCTTAATGGCTCATTTCTCTTTAGCACTGAAAAAATATTCCATTGTCTGGATATACCACAGTTTATCAATTCACCTACTGGGGAACATCTTGGTTGTTTCCAAGTTTGGCAGTTATGAATGAAGCTGCTATAAATATCCATGTGCAAGTTTTTTTGTGAACATAAGTTTTCACTTGATTTAGATAAATATCAAGGAGATGATTGCTGGGTTGTATTGTAAGACTCTCTAGTTTTGTAAGAAACTGCCAAACTGTCCTCTAAAGTGGCTGCACCATTTTCCATTCCCACTAGCAATGAATGAGAGTTCCTGTTGTCCGACATTTTTTCCACCATCTGATATTGTCAGTGGCTTGGATTTGGGCCATTGTAATAGGTACAGTAATATCTCATTGTTGCTTTATTTTTCATTTCCTGATGACATATGATGTGGAGCATCTTTTCATGGACTTCTTATCTGACATCTGTATATCTTCTTCGATGACAAATTTGTTTAGGTCTTTTGCTAATTTTTTAATTTGCTTTTTCATTTTTCATTATTAAGTTCTAAGAGTTCTTGCATATTTTGGAGAACTGTCCTTTTTCAGATACGTCTTAAACAAATATTTCCTCCCAGTCTGTGGCTTATATTCTTACTCTCTTGACATTGCTTTTTACAGACAAGAAGTTTTTTTATTTTAATAAAATGCAGCTTGTCAATTATTTATTTAATGGATCCTGCCTTGGTGTGTATCTAAAAATCCATTACCATACACAAAGACATGTAGGTTTTCTCCTATGTTATCTTTTATTTGTTTTATAGTTTTGCATTTTACATTTAGGTCTATGATTCATTTTGAGTTAACTTTTGTGAATGGTGTAAGGCTGTGTTTAGATTCATTTTTTGCATACCCCAGCACCATTGGTTGAAAAGACTGTATGTGTTCAATTATATTGCCTTTTTTCCTTTGTCAAAGATAGTTGAATATATTTATCTGGCTCTATTTCTGGGCTCTCTGTTGATCTCTATTTCTGGGCTCTCTGGCTCTCCATTGATTTGTCTGTTCTTCTGCTAATATCACACTGCCATGCTTCTATTAATTCTTGAGGTACAGTGTATAGTGAACTATATTAAGTCTTGAGGTCTGGTCGAACAGCTCTGTTCTTTCCCTTTTCCCTTCAATACACTCCTCCCTCAGTATCTGTGGAGGATTTGTTTCAGGGCTCCTGTTGGATATCAGAATTTGTGAATGGTCATGTCTCTTATATAAAATGGCACAGTATTTGCATATAATTTATGCACATTCTCCAGTTACTTTAAATCATTCCTGGATTACTTATAGTAACCACCAATACAAAGAAAAGTAAAAGTTTTTATACTGTATAGTTTCTTATTTGTATTCGTATTTTTTTTTTTTTGAGATAAGGTCTCGTTCTGTCACCCAGGCTAGACTGCAGTTGCACCATCACAGCTCACTGCAGCCTTGACCTCGCAGTCTCAAGCAATCCTCCCGCCTCAGCCTCCTGAGTAGCTGGGACTACAGACACACACAACCACACCTGGCTGGGTTTTGTGTGTGTGCATATATATGAATATATATTAGACAGCAAGACTGTCTATACTATGTATAGTACAGTATGTTGCCCAGGCTGGTCTTAAACTCCTAGACTCAAACAATCTACCTGGTTCAGCCTCCCAAAAATGTTGGGATAATAGATGCTGAGCCACTACACCCATTCTGTTTGTTATTTTTTATTGTTTATCTTTCAAAAAGTTTCCAGCTGCCATTGATTGAATTTGCAAATGTGGAACATGTATATACAGGGGACTGACTGTATTGTGCTGCTTATTCTGAGTCTTTGCCTTCTCTATATAAATTTTAGAATCAATTTGTCAATATTCACAAAATAACCTGCTGGGATTTTAAATGGGATTTCATTGACTCTATAGGTCAATTGGGAAGAACTAAAACTTGACATTATTGACTCTTACTATCCGAGAACATGGAATATTTCTTCACCTATTCAGCTCATTGATTTCTTTCATCAGAGTTTTGTAGATCCTGTTTTGCATACTGATATATTTTAAATCAATCATTTATTTTCAGACATTTAGGCTCTATGCATATTCAAAACTGTATAATGTAATCGTTTGTACAATTTATTGGCTGTGTTACAGAGTTAATTTCTCCATATAGAATTATTACAATGATTATTAGGTGTTGCTAAATAATGCTGTTTTTTTTTTCTATTATGTAATCTCCACCAGACACACTCCCAGTCACCAAAATAAGTAGGTAAATATATGTTAACTACTCCTGAATGATATTTTAGAGAATTTGTATGAATGCCATAATATCATATTTTTACATTTTTCTCAATCTGATCATCCTTTCAGTTCACACACAAAAAAGTATTTCAAGAAGATTTATATAATTTTTTATTTATTGTCTGTCTTACCACCTTGTAAAATCTTCATAAAGGCAGAAATTCCTGACTGTGTTGTAGACTGTGTTGTTGCTTATGGTGTTGTATCTTCAACACCATAAGAAGTTGCTGTTATGTAGTAGATGTTCAAAACATATTTTTGAACATATTAATTTGTTCATACACCCATTTAATCAAGCTGATAAATTTGGGTCACCACTTCCTAGATTCCTCCCTCTCAAACTCTCTTCTATCCCACGTTTAATAAATTGGGAAATTTTGTTGCTGCTGCTTCAAGCCACTGATTTTCTCCTTCACACTGATTTCATCATCTCTACTTCATTTTTTAAGTCTACTAAATATTTTTTGTAAACATGTTTCTTTAGCCTTTACTTGCAACAGTATACTCACTGTTATACCAGGATAAAACTTCTAACCTGATCTCAAAATGGCTACAATTTTCCATTCAAGTCTTGTTATCAGCTACCTTACCCCATACAGAGTATGAATTACATATCAACTTTCTCATAGGGAATTGACTATCCATCCTATCTTCAAGTTGACTGAACTTTTCTTCTGCCATATCCAAACTACTATTAAGCCCAATTAGGAAAAAAAATTTAATTCTTGTATTTCCCTATTTCCTTATGATTTTCATTTCTCTGTTGATATTCTTTTGCCATTGTTTTAATTTTACAAAATTATCTTCCTTTAATTTTATGTATATATTTATAATATCTGATTTATTATATGTTTATGATAAGTCTCAAACCTGGACCATTTGATAGTTCTTTTCCATTAACTATGCAAAAAATAAAAACAAAAAATAAGGTTCCCATATTCTAGTTTCTTTCCATGTCTACTAATGTTTATTGTTAATATCTATAAGAAATCTATATTATATTGTCTCTTCTGGAAAAGTGCTGAGTTTTGTTCAACAAACTTAGGTAAACTTGGTTTATGCTTTATTGGATAGATGTATGGAAAGTCCAGTTGTTTCCCAAAGTCCTACAAGTTGTCAGTACTCAACTTCAAATATCTACGTCTTGTTGGGATTAGTTTGAGGCTTTTTGTGTCTGTGGAGGGGTGCAGAGTAGGTCTTATTCTAGAGCACGGTTTTTACTTCTAGGATCTACTTTTCTAATATATCAGATATCTGAAGGGATGTTAATAGGACATTAATATGGACTCTTCACTCTTGTCAGGATGCAGTATCACCAGGACAACTTGAGTTTTAGCATCTCTGCTCACTTTTTTGCCTCATGACATTGACGCTGTTGTCAGTTTCCTATAGTCTCACCCTGAACAGATGAAGTACAGCCCTCACCCAGTTTCTTTTGGGGAACCATGTACAGAATTTGGGATCTCCTCTTGCAGGACCACCTTTTCTCTCCTGCTCTGGTCCAGTTGACTTGAACTTTGATCTCTGCCTCCTCAGCTCAGCGCTCTTTTTAGTACCTTGTCTGCTCTTCTGTGCTTGGGAAGTTTTCCTATTCTTAGACCTAGTGATATCATGGGGCACAGCAGATGAATATCCATGGTTTTAGGAATAGCAGTCTTGTATTCCCTATTACCTAGTTTCTGAAAACAGTTGATTCATATGTTCTGTCTAGTGTGTGGGGTAGAAGGGATAGTTTGGTACTAATTAATAAGTCATAATCATATGTGAAATCTTAAAAACAGCTCTTTACTATTTATCTTTAAGCTTTTATTTTTACATCCCATCATAATCTGTCAGTCAACTTTTACCAAAAAAAAGTAAAACAAGAAAAAGGGAGAAAGGGAATTTAATAGAAGCAAGCTGCAAAAACCTCTAAGATGCCATATAAGATTTTAAAATTATACACATAAACTTTTTAGTGTCTCAATGAATTTCCTTTGTTGCAATAATAAAATACCATAGTTAGCCAATTAATTTTTCATATAGCTCAATGATTGAGGTACATAATTTGCTGATGGAGCAGCATAGATCATTCAAACAGCTTATTTTTTAAATTAAATCATCTGAAACTATCTATTGATGATCCATTACTACAGTTTAATAAATAAAATTGCTTTCCCTTTTTTGCATATTTTGCTCTTTCAGTAAATTGTTTAATTATTATGCATGCCAAGTTTTACTGAGTAAGCTATATACTGTAGGTCCTGATTTTGCATATTTTATTGCTCACATTACATATTTCACAGACTTATCCCACGCATAGTCTAGATTGTTGATAATACATTACTAGTTATGAGGGTCAGTTTATCTATTAGACTTTGCTCATTTGTATAATTTGCTTAATGACCTACATAATCAAAGTCTGACATTTACAAAATATTTTACAAATACATGTTATTCATAAACTTCATTGACATGAAATATGTCAATGAATATTTTTCATATTTTATTTTATATTTCACAGTATGTTAACATTATTTTGCTTGAAAGATGACTTTTTAAAAACTATTTAAGTGTAACAGTGTCAAGATAAAGAGAAGCTATTTTTCCAGAAATAAGCTAAAACATGAAATTATAATGACAGTATATGACATCTCAAATTATTTTGAATTATGTAGTAAGAGTATGCATTTTGTAGAAAATGTATATCTTTTATTTGCTATGTGTTATTTGTAGGAAAAAAATCATTTTGGAAACATAGAGTATCCGTTTTTCTAGGGCTGTTTTAAGTAAATACCACAGACTGGGTGGTTTAAACAACATAAATTAATTTTTTCATAGTTCTGAAGGGTAGAAGCCCAAAATGAAGATGTCAGCACGTTTGATTTCTTCTGAAGCTTCTCTTTTTGGTTTGCAGGTAGCCCCATTTTCTCCATGTCTTCGTGGTCTTTTCTCTGTACACACCTGTGTGTGTGCACCTCTGTGTCCCATTCTCTTTTGTGAATAAAGACACCAGTCAGAATGGATTAGGGCCTACAATAGTGGACTCATTTTAAATTAATTACCTCTTTAAAGACCCTATCCCCGAATACTGAGATAGGGTCTTTAAAGGACTGGAGGTTAGGACTTGAACATACGAATTTCAGGGGGATACAATTCAGTCCATAACACTTAATGCTTAATTACATAATTTTTAATATCTTTATTTTAAATCAGGGGAATAACTTGATATTAATTGTAGAGTGACACATCTTGTATATATTCTTATGTGAACTTATCTGATTGTATTACACTTTTTTTCACTTTATGCCATGTTATTTGAACATACCTAAAAAAAATTAACGGCATTTCAAAAGTGTTTTATATGTGTTATACTTTTGATATAAATTAATTTTTATATAAGAAACTAAATATTAAGAATGTGAACAGTATTTTATTTAACAAATATACCCTATTAGAAATCTAATAAAACTTCATATGTCTAGAATTCTCTGAATTGGTTTTGCCATCACCATAAAGTTAACCGGAAGAATTTTGATGGAATACTTGTTCTGTGAAACGTGTATGTAATAATATACACTTTCTCTTCTACACTTAAGCCTTTGACTTAAAATTAGAATCTCATTAAAATTAATTATATGATATGTTGAAATATCTCAAGTTTTGGAATAATGCAAACATGTTATTTTGATATTTTTTCCTTATAGTAATTAGTAGTAGAACTTTTAATGTTACAGTTTTTGCATGTCACCTGAGGTTCCCATGCATAGGTTTTAGTCAATCTCTAGAAACTATTCCCAAAATTAGTTGTCATATATATGCAGATTTTAATTTTTTTGACAAGTCTCTAAAATTTATTTTATTAGCTTTAAGATTTGGGATAAATAAGATTAAAGGTTCCTACATTTAAGGTTTTCATCTTGAAAATGACTTGTTTTCTTTCATTTTGAGATTTAAAGGAAGTTTGAACATTTGAAAAATACCTTTTTGCAGTTAAATTTGGGGTTACATAGGGAAAAGAAAAAGGGAAAGAGAGGATGACTGCTGCTCTAAAACTGGCAACCCTTCAGGATCTACAGGTGAGCTGTGTCAGCTTTCAAAATCCTCACAGATAAGGCTTATTTATGGAAAGTGACCTTATCTGCAAAATAACAATGTTTTCAAAATGCAGCAAAAGTACCATAAACCTTAGAATTTGTGCATATGCTATTTCTACTTCCTAGAATACACTCTTCTTTTTACACAACTCTTTTTATCTTTCAAATCTGATATATCTTACCTTCCAAGATATGATTTTGGCCTCTTATAGACCAAGTAGGGCCCTATCCCATTACTCGAACTCCCTTTTTATTTTCTACCACATGTATGTTCAATTTATAGTAGTTGCACAACTAATAACTATTTATGTACCTGTTTATTGAATATTTTATTGAAAATATACATTTATTATTTATTGAATGAATGTATAATAATAATATGTATATAGTAAGAGGGAAATATTTTATTACATTCACCATTCCATCTTGGATTAACAAATATCTTGTATTCATAAGCAGGTAATGTGTAGCATAGCTAGATATGTTTTATGAAAACATGAATCTGATTATTACACTGTCAGAACAAATTACTTCAGTGATTTCGAAAAACCTTCAGAATAAAGGCAAAACCTTGGGATTAGCATATAATACCTTTAAGTCAGATCTCCCCTTTTCCTATGATATCCTTACCAATTTCCAGGGCTTCAACTGTGCCCTCAGCATAGCTCCATTAATAGCATGTAGACACAGTAATTTCCTCAGACAAGACCTATTCTTATTTGGCTTTTGTATCACCCATGGCCAAGATCCAGCACTTTGCACATAGTAGTTACACAATTACTTTCTGAAAAACAGATGAATAAATTAATTATTTACACCTACATTTTAAGTGAGGTTAAAATATGAATGAACCATCTTGCCCCTCACAGAATAGTGTCTTCTTTTCATCACTCTGGATACGTTAAGGATATTTTCTTTATCATCTCAAACCAACATTTGGAATTTATGTTTAATTGATCTCTATCTCCTCTACTTCTTCCAACCCCTGTTTAATCTAAATGACAATTTATTTTACTTCCAAATGATCTCTCTCATTATCCTATTTTTCATACATTTATTGCCACTTTTTTTAGAACTGTCTTTGATCCCTACTTCTCAGGTTAAGGTAGATTGGACTATCAGTGGTCTTCATGCTAATTTACGTACTTTCAGATCCATTACAAATAGTTTTACTTTACAGATCCTGCCTGTATTTCCTACCTCTCTACCTCAATGTTTTTGCATATGCTAACTAACCACTTTCTCCCAATCTCCATTTTACTAAGTTGTTAAGAAATCTGCTTCATTACTATGCTCATACAACATTGTTTTTGCTTTTCAGCCCAATGTCTTCAACATAAAATATGTTCTGTAATCTGAATTTTCATATTTCTCTGTTGTATCATTACTGCAATATGTTTTATAGTTTTAGGGCTATTTCTCTCTCTCTCTCTCATATATATATAATATATTTATATTTCATGTATAAATATATTATATATTTATATATAATATATTTTTATATAGTTTTTTATATTTATATAAATATATATATTTATATAAATATATAAATATATATATTTATATAAATATATATATTTATATAAATATATAAATATATATATTTATATAAATATATAAATATATATATAAATACAATATTTTTATATTTTATATTTATATAATATACATAAAATATATTTTATATACAGTTATATATATTTTATATACAGTTATATATAAATATATTTTATATACAGTTATATATAAATATATTTTATATAGTTATATATAATACATTATATATAGTTATATATAATATATTTTATATATAGTTATATACAAATATATTTTATATAGTTATATACAAATATATTTTATATATAAATATAAAATATAAATATATTATATATATAAAAATATATATATATTTTATGTTTCCCTTTCTGCTTTAGGAGATTATATATGGATATTTATATATACTTACCCTTCTCCTTGCAATGTTATGATGTCTTGAGGAGAGGGATCTATTCAGCATTTTTATCTGTCTGCCCACTGCACTGTCTAGCATTATGCCTTGTACACAGTAAGGACTGAATGAATGTCCCTCAAGTAGATAAATGAGGATGCTTGGCTCTAGGTTTGGTATATAGTAGTTCATAAGCACAAAGGAATAAAACAGCAGCTATTTTTCTGATGTTTACCCCCCTCAATGAAAAATATTCCCTGGGCTTTGTTAAGTAAAAGGTTTTAAAGTGGTGACATACAGACATGTATTCTTTGGACAGTAAAATATTAAACAAGGCAACAAAAATCTAATTAGTTGACAACATTTAAAACTGGCAGACTTCACTTAATTTCAACAGTCTTTTCAAAAGTGAGAAGCAGATTTGGCAATATTGGGAAAATATTCTCCTAGAGCCAAAATTTGCTGGTAATAAGTATCAACTAACCAGTTTAGCCAAGGCTACTGTGTTCTAGTTTGCCTGAATTTCAAATAGCTTATTCATCTTATTTAGATCTTTTGTGATGGAAGGTCTTGGTCAGTGTGACCTCTTCTTTTATATACTTGATCTCTGTACTTGTGTAAAATAAGATTCCAGGACTTGCATTGGGAATCAGGGTTTTAACATACAAGTCTACCAGCTATGCCAGCCAGCTGAGCAGGGGTAGAAAGAACCTGACAGCTGTGCAGATAATGAAGAAACAAACAAAAAACTTTGAATAAAATACTTGGAAAAAATGAGCCAAGTAAAGGGCACAAGCTAGCATATTCAGGGAGAAGAGAAATACTAAGATAAAGAAAATGTGCCAGATTATACGGTAGACACTATTATATTAGTCTTTACTATAGCTTTGACTATATATACATGACTTATAGCTGTATAAGGAACATTTCCTAGCTCTTGCCACTGAAAAAGCATAGAAACAGTAGCACCCTAAAGGCAATGATAATATCTACTGCCCATATTTTAATTTCTAAACACCATTTTCTATTAAAAGGAGCTAGGATTCTTGGGAGAAAGAGCTGATTCCAAGGCTGAAGTGAGAATATTTTCCATTTGAAACCTGAATGACTTGTTCAGAGAAGAAGGAAGTGTTCAAAGAATAATTGAGATATGATATACATAAGACACAGAAGCCAGATTGAAGGGGCATCACTGATTAAATACAGGACAATTTGAGCACCTAAATAAATAATGGTAGTAATAGATTATAACCCACTGAACAAAATAAAGAAGTTCTTATCCATAGTGAATATCAATTTTGAAATTTATTATCTAAATTTCAAGAGGTAACAGCATATTGGCAAGATATTTAGGTTCCACTTCCACAAAATACTTACTGAATACAAGGGAAAGATTACATTGGAGAAAAGTTGTTGATACAATTGTGACTGTAGGATCAAAATTAAGGTCACCATAATGGTCCAAACTTACTTCGAATATTACCTAACAGGCTGTGGCATTTCTGTGATATTCTTTTGAAATATAATCCAGACAAAACATTGACGAAACTAAGTAAAGGAACTTCTTATAAAATTACCAGTGTATAATCCTCAAAAGTGTTCATGTCATGAAAGCCAAGAAAAGCCTGAGAAACTACTTCACACGCAAAACAATAGATACAGAAACTCAATTCAACAGATGATTTTAAATTGCATCATTTGCAATAAAGGACACTATTGGTACAATTGGTAAAATTTGAAGAAGGTTTGACAATAAAATAAAAGTAATGCATCAATGATAACTTCTGATTTTGATAGTTGATCTGTGGTTATATATAAGAATGTTCTGGTTTGTAGAGCATCTGATTGGCAACTTATTCTCAAATGGTACAGAAAACAAATTCTCTGTGTTCTACTTGCAAATTTTCTGTAAGTTTGGAACTATTTCAAATAATTTTAAAACAGTATACTTATTGCAAATGAAGAGTAATCATTTCTAGATTTAAAGTACATAAAGTTAATGTTTATAGAAAGAAATCATTTATATTTGAAACAAGAAAATTACTGATTTAACACTAGAAAACACAGAAGCATGAAGCATGGCCATTAACTTTGTTCTTTTTCTTCTTTAAGATATATATATATATACACACACACACATATATACACATATATACATATGTATATACCTATATGTATACACGCACGTATGTACACAATATACCTGTGTGTATGTATACACGCACGTATGTACACAATATACCTGTGTGTATGTATACACGCACGTATGTACACAATATACCTGTGTGTATGTATACACGCACGTATGTACACAATATACCTGTGTGTATGTATACACGCACGTATGTACACAATATACCTGTGTGTATGTATACACGCACGTATGTACACAATATACCTCTGTGTAGGTATACACGCACGTATGTACACAATATACCTCTGTGTAGGTATACACGCACGTATGTACACAATATACCTGTGTGTATGTATACACGCACGTATGTACACAATATACCTGTGTGTATGTATACACGCACGTATGTACACAATATACCTGTGTGTATGTATACACGCACGTATGTACACAATATACCTGTGTGTATGTACACACGCACGTATGTACACAATATACCTGTGTGTATGTATACACGCATGTATGTACATAATATACCTGTATGTATACACGCACGTATGTACATACCTGTGTGTATGTATACACGCAGGTATGTACACAATATACCTGTGTGTATGTATACACGCAGGTATGTACACAATATACCTGTGTGTATGTATACACGCACGTATGTACACAATATACCTGTGTGTAGGTATACACGCACGTATGTACACAATATACCTGTGTGTAGGTATACACGCACGTATGTACACAATATACCTGTGTGTATGTATACACGCACGTATGTACACAATATACCTGTGTGTATGTATACACGCACGTATGTACACAATATACCTGTGTGTAGGTATACACGCACGTATGTACACAATATACCTGTGTGTAGGTATACACGCACGTATGTACACAATATACCTGTGTGTAGGTATACACGCACGTATGTACACAATATACCTGTGTGTAGGTATACACGCATGTATGTACATAATATACCTGTGTGTATGTATACACGCACGTATGTACATAATATACCTATATGTGTATACACATATAGGTATATACATAATATAACTATATGTATACCTACACATATAGGTATATACATAATATAACTATATGTATACCTACACATATAGGTATATACCTATATGTATATATACACACATATAGACACATATATACACACATGTATACACATATATGTGTATATACACGTGTGTGTATACACATACACATATATATGTATATATGTGTATATATACATATATGTATACATGTGTATATATACATATATGTATACACATAATATACATGTGTATATATACATATATGTATATACATAATATACATAATATATGTGTTTACATATATGTGTATACATATACACGTATATGTATACGTATACATATACGCGTATATGTATACGTATACATATACGCGTATATGTATACGTATACATATGTATACATATGTATATACATATACGCATATATACACATATAGGTATATATGTATATACATATATGTATATATACCTATATGTATATATACACATATAGGTATATATACATATGTATATATACCTATATGTGTATATACACATGTAGGTATATTATGTATATACCTATATGTATATACACATGTAGGTATATTATGTATATACCTATATGTATATATACACATGTAGGTATATTATGTATATACCTACATGTATATATACATATAGGTATATTATGTATATACCTATATGTATATATACATGTAGGTATATTATGTATATACCTACATGTATATATACATGTAGCTATATTATGTATATACGTATATGTATATATACATGTAGGTATATTATGTACATGTAGGTATATTATATATATACATACATGTATATATACATGTATGTATATTATGTATATACATACATGTATATATATATTCTCTTCTTTTCTTTATTTATAAGGTGAAGAAAAAGAGAAGAAAGATAAAGTCATGTTCAAAGTAATTCTTTATATTTTAACTAATTGAAAAATGGTGCCTGGTGGATCTCAGTGCAGAGATAAAGAAGAAGTAGCTATGCTTAATTATTTCAAAACTGTTTTATTGCCTTATGATGCACATGAGATTTAATAACTCACACTTGCAGAAAAAGACATTCTCTTATAGTATCTCTCAATAGAAGTGTGTTCAGAAAATGGAGCTTTTGAGGACAAACGGCTGCCTTGTCTAATATTTTTCAAAGCTGGTTTGAAAGCCAGAAATATCAGGAAGTAGTTCAATGCCTTGTAATTATAGACAGCAAACATAGTTTTGTTTTTGAAGTAAAGAAATGCCACACAACTCAGTGGCAAAGGACAGAAAGTGAGGCAAGGAAAAATCATGAACTTTACAGTTTGACACACATGGCTTCACTCCCCATTTTTCAGTTGTATTTAGGTATAAAATCATGGGCAAGGTGACTAACCATTTTGAGCCTTGAGTTTATGATTGATGACATAAAAATATAATCTGTCCAGAGCAGTTGTGAGATTAAGTGATATTATAAATGTACATGACTGGCATGGAACTGTTTGATTTATTGCTTTTCTTTTTTAAATGAATATGAATATTGATTAACTTTCATTTCAATAATCTATTTGACAAATAGGCTGTAATTCCTCATGAATTACTGGGCTCTGGGTCAGTGGAATACCAAAACTGAGGATCAGGCAGAGTGTCTCCCATGAATTATATTATTTCATGGTACTAGAGATTTAAACACATAATCTCAGTGGCTCCTGTTAATTCTGTTTAGGATGGTGGGCAAATCCAAACTGAGAGCCGTGCAAATGCCATGAAGATGCCATAAACATCATTGCATGACTTTTCTAAGCACTTACTGTAGCCTCAAGGCATATAAAGTTGGTCATGACGACTGTGGATTCTGTATTTGAAAATTTACATTTTCACTAACACTTATCCAAGCACAAATTACAGTGCTGTTGATTGTTAATAAGTAAATAGTATATATTAAAACAATTTTATAGCCAGGCACGGTGGCTCACACCTGTAATCCCAGCACTTTGAAAGGCTGAGGCGGGCGGATCATGAGGTCAGGAGTTCAAGACCAGCCTGGCCAATATGGTGAAACCCCGTATCAACTAAAAATACAAAAATTAGCTGGGCGTGGTGGTGTGCACCCTGTAATCACAGCTACTCAGGAGGCTGAGGCATAAGAATCGCTTGAACCCGGGAGTCAGAGGTTGCAGTGAGCCGAGCTCGTGCCACTGCACACCAGCCTGGGAGGCAAAGCGAGACTCTGACTCAAAACAAAACAAAACAAACAAAACACAATTTTACATATTGATTAGTCAGTGAAAATGTTGTGACTAAAAGCTCATAGAAACCTCATTCTTTATATCTCCTGGAATTTTTTTTTTTTTTTTTTTTTTTTTGATAAAGTGTCTCACTCTGTCACTCAGGCTGGAGTACAGTGGCATGATCACCACTCACTGCTGCCACAACTTCTCCGGCTCAATCAATCTTCCTGCCCCAGCCTTCCGAGTAGCTGGAACTGCAGGCATGCACCACCATGCCCGGCTAACTTTCTTATTTTATGTAGAGATGAGGGTCTCACTATATTGCCTAGGCTGGTCTTAAACTCCTGGGCTCAAGTGATCACCCTGGCTTGATTTCCCAAAGTGCTGGGATTACAGGCATGAGCCACTGCACCTGGCCAAATAAATGGTTTATTATTCAATAATTCTGTTTTTTCTTGACTTTCTAGAACATAACCACTATCAATAATGAGACTAGAATACGTTTTATAATCAATTCATGATACTTGAAATGACAAATGAAATAAGGCATGAATATTTTACTTTTGGCAGTATGGCAGGTGAGATATCAGAACCAACTGTCTTGAAAGAGTCAACATGCAATCATTAAAGTAATATATTACTCAAAGTAAACATATGACAAAAAAGAAGCCAGTTGGGAAGTAAAGCACTGCAATCGGTTTTTGTATCAATGACTTAAACAAAGGGAGTAAAACTGTGTTTAAATTTTCAAGTTGTTTGCAGACTATGTGAAGTGTGAAAATACACTGCTAGCTAATGTGAAGAGTCAATCAGAAACACTCTCTTTCCCTTAAATTTGGATCATTTAAAAACTATATTATTTGAATAATGTAAGCTAGAAGTAAATCTCCAACCCACAAAACAACATTGTGTTACACTTAAAATTGCTTGACCTGACCCACATGGTTTGAAAATAAAACATATATAAATACTCCTTAGAGGCTGTAACAACAAACTGTTGGGATACATGCGTTAAAATCACATAACATGAGTTGACAAAAAAGAAAGACATTTAATACTGAGTTTTAAGTGCTCTCACAGTGTAAGAGTGTCCAGATGCAATAACGACCTGGACCCTACATAATAAAATAGCCATAAAATATAGAAAACAAATTTGGACAAAAACATAAGTAATAAATAATTTCATATCATAGTGGCATATTTTAACACATTTATTTAATGAACTTATAAAACAAGCTGACAAATTCACCTGAATAATCCCTAAGATTTTTTTATTTAATCATGAATGAACTCTCATTCACAATTGCTACAAAGAGAATAAAATACCTAGGAATACAGCTAATAAAGGAAGTGAAGGACCTCTTCAAGGAGAACTACAAACCACTGCTCAAGAAAATAATAGAGGAAACAAACAAGTGGAAAAACATTCCATCCTCATGGATAGGAAGAATCAATATCATGAAAATGGCCATACTGCCCAAAGTAATTTATAGATTCAATGCTATTCCTATCAAACTACTGTTGATATTCTTCATAGAATTATAAAAAACTACTTTAAATTTCATATGGAACCAAAAAAGAGCTCGCAGAGCCACGACAATCCTAAACAAAAAGAACAAAACTGGAGGCATCACACTACTTGACTTCAAACTATAGTACAAGGCTACAGTAACCCAAGCAGCATGCTACTGATACCAAAACAGATATATAGACCAATGGAACAGAACAGAGGCCTCAGAAAAAAACGCCAAACACCTACAACCACCTGATCTTCAGCAAACCTGACAAAAACAAGCCATGGGGGAAAGGATTCCCTATTTAATAAATGATGCTGGGAAAACTGGCTAGCCTTATGCAGAAAACTGAAACAGACCTCTTTCATACACTTCATACAAAAATTAACTGAACATGGATTAAAGACTTAACTGTAAGACCCAAAACCATAAAAACCCTAGACGAAAACCTAGGCAATACCATTTAGAATATAGGCATGGGGAAATACTTCACTTCATGACAAGAACACCAAAAGCAATTGGAACAAAAGTCAAAATTGACAAATGGGATCTAATTAAACTAAAGAGCTTCTACACAGCAAAATAAACTATCACTGGAGTGAACAGGCAATCTACAGAGTGGGAGAAAATTTTTGTAATCTACCCATCTGACAAAGGTCTAATATCCAGCGTCTATAAGGAACTTAATCAAATTTATGAGAAAAAAACAACCCCATCAAAAAGTGGTCAAAGGATATGAACAGACACTTCTCAAAAGAAGACATTTGGCTGGACATGGTGGCTCACACCTGTAATCCCAGCACTTCGGGAGGTGGAGGCAGGAAGATCATGAGGTCAGGAGTTCAAGACCAGCCTGGCCAACATGGTAAAACCTCATCTCTACTAAAAATTCAAAAACAAGCCTGGCATGGTGGCACACACCTGTAATCCCAGCTACTCAGGAGGCTGAGGCAGGAGAATTGCTTGAGTCTGGGAGGCGGAGGTTGTAGTGAGCAGAGATCATGCCACTGCACTCCAGCCTGGGTGGCAGAGCGAGACCCTGTCTCAAAAAAAAAAAAAAAAAAAAGACACTTATATGGTCATCAAACATAAAAAAAAGCTCAACATCACTGATCATTAGAGAAATGCACATCAAAACCACAATGAAATACCATCTCACATCAGTCAGAATGGCGATTATTAAAAAGTCAAGAAACAACATATGCTGGTGAGGCTATGGAGAAATAGGAATGCTTTTACACTGTTGGTGAGAATGTAAATTAGTTCAACCATTGTGGAAGACAGTGTGGTGATTCCTCAAAGCTCTAGAACCAGAAATATGATTTGACCTAGCAGTCAAATTACTGGGTATGTACCCAAAGGAATATAAATCATTCTACTATAAAGACACATGCACACATATATTTATTGCAGCTCTATTTATAATAGCAAAGACATGGAATCAACCCAAATGCCCATCAATGATAGACTCGATAAAGAAAATGTGGTACACCTACACCATGGAATACTATGCAGCCATATAAAGGAATGAGATCATGTCCTTTGCAGGGACATGGATGAAGCTGGAAGGCATCATCCTCAGCAAACTAACACAGGAATAGAAAAACAAACACCACCTGTTCTCACTCAGAAGTGCGAGTTGAATAATGAGAACAGAGGGACACAGGGAGGGGAACACCACACATTGGGGCCAGTCAAGGGGTGGGGGTGGGGTGCAAAGAGGGGGAGAACATTAGAAAAAATAGCTAATTCATCCAGGGCTTAAAACCTATATAATGGATTGATAGGCGCAGCAAACCACCATGGCACACGTATAGCTATATAACAAAGCTACATGTTCTGCACTTGTATCCCAGAACTTAAGGTAAAATAAAAAACAATTTTAAAAAAAAACAGATTTTTGTTTAATTACACCAACGAAAACTTTTCCAAATAACGTAACAGTCACAGGTTCTAGGAATTAGGAAAAATATTTTGAAAGAATACCATGCATATACAAGAATATAATAATGTTTAAGCAATATAAGATAGTTATTTTTGGCACCATGATGCTGAAAAGGAAAAAAATCCCGTTAAAAAACTGTTTTTTCTTTTATATATTTCAACAGAAATGTAATTGCTTACATGAGAGTTGAAAGTCACTTAGTTTCTAAAAGTTTGTTTTGTTGTCATACAGCCCATGTTCATTGTTCTAGAATGCATGATTGATTATCCATGAAAATAATGTTAAGCTGAATAATTCAAAGATATTAATAATGTCTTATGAATAAGAAAGGTTTGTTACATTCATGAGTAAATAGCAAAGGTGTAATGCCAATTATATGTAGGATGTTTATGTAATTTGAAAACATAATGTAAAATCGCAAGATAAAATTGTGTTTACTAATAAGTCCAACTGAGACCACTACTTGGTTGATAGCATTTTTGGCTAGAATAAGTGCAGTTTATATTACTTGAAGTTTTTATAAGATTCACTATCTCCTCACAACACAAAACCACTCGTGATCATTACTTAAATCAAGACGCAGAATTGTTCCATCTCTCTAAAGATCTCTTATGCTCCCCTTTTCAGCCATGAAAAAGCCTATACCCTTCCTAAAATGTTGTAAATTATGTATATATAATCAAGTATCTAGAACAACTGCTAACAGACCTATAGAACATAATATGCTCAAAAACACTACAGATAAGCCAAAATGGAATTCTAAAAAATGATTGAGTAACCTATAAGAGGCCAGGGCAAAGTAGACAGCGATAGAGAGAAAAAAAGACAGAGAAACAAAAAACAGAAAACAAAAAATAAAATGGTACACCTCAGTCCTAATATATTACTAATTACATAAAAATCAAATGGCCTAAGTACATCAATTACAAAAAGGGATTGGCAGAGTAGGTTTTTTAAAAGCCCCCAGAACAACTAATAACCACCTCTATGCTGTCAAAAAAAAAAATTAAATACAACAATGCAGGCAAGTTGAAAATATATAGATGGAAAGAGAGATACAACACAGGCGCTAGTCAACAGAAAGCATGAATGGCAATATTATTAACAGATAAAATAGGCTGCACAACAAAGAAACAGTACCAGGAGCAGAAAGGCACATTACATACTGATAAAAATAAGTCAACACAGCAAGAAAACATAAGCAATTCTAAATACGTAGGCAACAAGAAAGCTTCAAAATACTTGGGACAAAAACTAATAGAACTGAAAGGAAAAATAAAAATAAACACAATCATGGTTGAAAACATAAACTCTATTCAAGAATTACTTATCAGAATATCAGCAAGGACATAGAACTCAAAAATGCCATCAACCAACAGAATCCAACTGACATTTATAGAACACAACACAACACCTAACAAAAGCAGAATACACATTCTTTGTAAGAGCCATTGCAGCAGTCAGCAATATAGCCCACACTGTGGGTCCCAAAATAAGCTACAAAAATAAAGAAAGAAAAGTATACAGATTATTTTATCTGAATATAATGGAATAAAATGAACAATGAATACAAGTAAAGTCGTGTGAAAATCTCCAAATACCTGGAAATTAAAACACGGGCTTCTAAATAAGTTATGTGTCAAAGGGGAAGTCATTTAATCCTAACCTGGGAGCAAGGATCCCAGCAAGAAAATGAAACATAAACAAATATTGAAATAAATGAAAATGAAAACACACATATCAAAATTTGTGGGCTGCAGCTAATGCAGCACTGAGAAATTTATAGCACTAAATGTTCACATTCAAAAGTAAGAATGACATAAAAATCAAGAATCTAAGCTCTTACTTCTAGAAACTAAAAAAAGAAGGGCAAAGTAAAACCAAACAAAGGAGAAGAAAGGAAATAATCAAGATAGTAGAAGCAGTTGATAAAATTGAAAACAGAAAAACAATAGTGAAATTTAATCAACTCAAATGGATCATAGATCTAAATGTAAACTTGGTGAAAGATAAATTTTGGTTCATCCATGTAATGAACTATACACAACTATTAATAAATGGAGCAATAAGAATAAATCTCAAGGACCTCTCATTGGAATGAAAAAGCCAGTATCAATATGTGGCATATGGTAAGATCTTTTTATACATCATTCCTGAAATCACAAAATTATAATTATGGCAAACAGATCAGGGATTGCTAGGGTTAGGGTTGGATTATAAAGGAGACATTTGAGAGTGCCTTTGGCGTGTTGAAACAGTTCTGTTTCCTAACTGTGTAATTATACACATCTAAATATGTGATAAAATTTCATAAAACTCTTCTGAAAAATGTGCATATAAAAGTCATTGAAATCTGAATAAAGTCCTAAATTTAGTTAACAGCATTGATCCAATGTCAATTTCCTGGTTTTGATAATTGTACTATGGTAATAGAAGATTTTATCATTGGGGAAGTTGAATGAAAATTACATGGGAGCTCTCTGGAATTTTTTTGTCACTTTTTAATATAAAAAGCTTTCAAAACACACACACACACACACACACACACACCCCACTATATGTCTGGGCACAGAGACTCACACACAAAAAGGACACTATTTGAAGATGACAGCATAGAATGTGTAAAGCCAAAGAAAGTCAGAGTCCTAGCAAACCACCAAAAATGAGGGGAGAGACATGTAACACATTATCTCTCGCAGCCCTAAGAAAGAATCAACCCAGCTGACACACTGATATTGGACTTCTAGCTTCCAGAACTGCGAGACAATAAATTTGTCTTCTTTAACCTCCTCAGTTTGTGCTAGGCAGCCCTAGCAAACTAATATAGACTCTTCAACAGGCAGTTAGATTTCCAGAGTATATACTGTTCACCAAGCATAATACTAGAGGTTCATTTTTCGATGATACTTACTCAGAAAATCTGTGTAATGGCCTTTATTAGTTTGCTGGTGCTACCATAACAAAATACCATCAACTGTGTGGCCTAAACTACAGTCATTTATTTACTCAACAGTTCTGAAGTTGGAGTCCTGGGTCAGGGTACCAGGATGGTGGGGTTCTGGCATGGGGTCTCTTCCTGGCTGACAAAAGGCCCTCACACTGAGTCCTCACAGGGCAAACAGAAAGAGGGCAGGCTTTCTGGCATCTCTTCTTATAAGTGCATTAATACCCTTCTGAGGGCCCCATATTCACATGACCTTATCTAAACCTAATTATCTCTTAATGGTTTTATCTCCAAATCCCATCAACACTGCAAGTTAGGTCTATAATATATAAATTTGTTGGGACACAATAAGTTCATAGTAGGTCCAACAGGCACAATTGAGTGTAATGAGAGTTTATGAAATGTTGGGAGACTAAGTGATCATTTATAAACTGAAGGGATTTACTGGGCACCACAGTAATCACCAAAGAGATATTAATGATTAATAATGTATGACAGTTAAAAACTTGATTTGATCCTTGCTCCCAGGCAAGGATTAAATGACTTCCATCCTCAACTACCTCTTTAAATGTATTTTCTACTCTTATATTTGAAGTCCTGAAGCAGTTGCCCTTTTCCAATTGGCAAAGACTTCTCTTTCTCACTCTCTCTATTCTTTATTCCAGGCAGTTCTTCCCTGAGCTCATCTTTTTTTATATAAAACTTTGACAAAAGCACCCAACATCATCACTAATGTTCATGATCTACTTGACACAAGTTATTGCTGGACAGTTTTACCAAATGTTTTGCTACTGTATAACATACCATTTTTCTAGACACCACGACTCCACCACTAAAATGATGTCATATATTTAAGGTATTTGTTAGGTCAGGACCATAATTCTATACAACAGTGTCCATCTCAGCTAGGATAGGCTAAATTATGTTATGATAATAAACAAATTCCAAAACTCAGTGCTTAGCAATAACAATAAAAATGTTTCTTTCTGCTGGGCATGGTGATTTACGTCTGTAATCCCTGTAATCCCAGCATTTTGGGAGGCTGAAGTGGGAGGATTGCTCGAGCCCAGCAGTTCAACACCAGCCTGGGCAATACAGGGAGACTCCCATCTCTACAAAAGAAAAAGAAATTAGCAGGGTGTAGTGGTGATATCTGTGCTCCCAGCTACTTGGGGGGCTAAAGTGGGAGGATCACTTAATCCCAGGAAGTCAACGCTGAGTGAACTCTGATCATGCCACTGCACTCCAGCATGGGCAAGAAAGCTAAACCACGTCTAAAAAAAAAAATGTTTATTTCTTGTACATGCTAATGTCAACTAATGGTGAAGTAACGGTCTCTGCTTTAGACACTCTAAGGATGATGGAGTCTCTGCCATCCTGTAGCTGCTGCAACATTTGGAATACCAGGGCAATTCAGTATAGTTTTTGAAGTGTATATTTTATTCTATTGCAGACAAATTATATTCTGCGTTTCTCTTCTGCTTCGTTTTGCACAGAGTAAATATCGTATATAATTACTTCTTGATTGAGAAATAAGAAAATAAACAAAAATCAAAACAAAACAAAACAAAAAATTAAATTTCCACAAACAAGAAATCTATACTCTTGAGTTGCTATTATAGTGTTAGCTGAAAATAATTTTCTACATTTTCCCAAATCCAGTTAGATTTTTCTGCTCTATTCAGCCTAAATAATTTTTTGCATTTATTATGAATAAATAATAGGACCATGTATGCAGCACCCATAATGTTTCACGTATTGTAGGCACTATAAATACGTGAAGGAAATAGAGACAGAAGTATTCACTTTATAAGAGAATGAATATAAAATATATATAATATTCTGAAAATTTAAAACATCTTATACCATTATATAGTTCTTTTTGGTTTATTTAGAAAATGAAGTATAGAAAGTATACATCTAATCCGTGATTTCAGGAAAGGTTAACCTTAGTGGGGAAAAAAAATTATTACGTGAATAAAGTTTATTCTGACATCATCTCATGGAAGTTTGTCATACAAATTAGGTCATTCTAGCCATACCCAACTAAAACAGAGTAGAAAAGCCAGGGGGAAAAAAGGACTAAGGGCACGTAACATTGCTCCAAAAATGTAAGTTCTTTGCAAACCTGGCTGCTGAAACTGGCTGCTGTAACCTGAAACCAGTTTTATCTAATGGCTCCTGAAAGAACCTGCTGAGACTCTAAAACTGCCCACTTGCCAGTTCCCCCAAAATTTACCAGTGCCAATGAACTTTCTTGCAAAACAATATGTAATATTTCCATGTTTTACTAAAACTTCCAGCCTGCTCTTTGTTCTTTGGACATACCAAAGACCACCTGGTCTGTGTTTATGCCCCAAATTGCAGTTCTTGCCTCCCAAATAAAAATGTTTTAAATTTTAGAGATGGATCCATATTTTATTTGATTTTGACAATCTTTTTTCATTTTCCCCAACAGAAGACTTTTCTTGTTTCCTACTTCTTCAACCTAGATTCTCCAGAATAATAGCTGGTTGTCTCAGGAAGTTATCATGGAGTCATGTTAGGCATTACCTCCCTGCAGTGATCCACTGTAAACATCTTTTATTTCCACATGAAACCTTGCCTGGAAAAATGTCAATTCCCAGCTTATCACATACATCAACAAGAATGCAACTCAATAGAAATATGATTCCTGATGAGTTGTTTATGTGTTAAACAATGACCATCTCTATTATCGGAAGAAAATAAGTCATAAACATAAAATAAATTTTAAAAATAGGCTATTTTAACCTAAAGCAGTCCCTAGGAGTCACGTATAGGATAGTGGGGTAGATAACTTTGTCCAAGAAAGACAGATGATAAGGAAATTTGCTTTATTAAACATAAGTTTCAAGTAGTGTGTAAAGCTACTTTTACATAGATTATCTCAAGTTTGTGTAGACAGTATTGTCATTAAGTAGCAAAGTGGTAAATTAAAGATTAGGACTTGCGCAACAGAATGAAATTGTAGAACAGGTATCCAAATCTGGGTTTCTGTGATTTTTAAACTTTTATTTGTATTCCAGCATACTATCTTTCAGCCCTCATGAAACCATGTTATACTGGCAGTTAAATGGAGGGCATTTTACAGCAAACAACTCTAGAACATCATATGCACTAATACCCTGCAAAAACTTTAGCCAGTAGAAAAACATGAATTTATGTCAGAAAAGCTGAAGAAATACTGGGTTAGCTTTCTATACATACAGTGACAAAGTATGTATAGAAAGTTAACCCAGTATTTCTTTTCTTAATCCCACATTTCATTGGTAAAAACAACACAAACTTTCTCACAGTTCTGTAAATCAGAATCCAGTGTACTTGGCTAGTTTCCCTGCTCATATCTCACAAGGCCAAAACCAAGGTTTCAGCAGAGCTATGTTCCTCTCTGAATGCCCTAGAGGGGAATCCGTTTTCAGACTCATTCAGGTTGTTGGCGAAATTCAGTACCAGGCAGTAGGGGTCGTATTTTCTTGCTGGATTCCACTCTTTGTTCCCAGCAGCCTCTCTTCTGGTGCTTCTGTGTAGGACGCTGCCTTTCAGAACAAGCAGCACCTGGAATACTTCTCACAGTGCTGTGTCTCTTCTGCCACATCTTTCCATAACTTCAGTAGAGACAGGTTCTCCACTTTTAAGTGGTCCCATAATCAGATTGGAGACACCCAGATAATCCAAAATAATCAATCCATCTCAATTTCCACAATCTTAATCACATCTGTAAAGTCCCTTTTGACATATATTAACAGGTTGCAGAGATTAGTGTGTGAACATTTTTGCAGGATATATAGTAGTCTACTACAAACAATTCTATTGACAACTTTAAAACCATAAAATGGGAAGCTTGAGATTTTTCTTACACTGAAAAAAAAAATTACCATCACTAGGAATTACTCCAACTCTCTCTGTGTAATATCATAACTATGATAATATCTTCTGACTATCCTTTTGAATTAGTTGTTCTAATTACCACCTGAACTCATTTAAGTGAATCCAAAACTAGTTTGACATTTTCTAAAATGGTCAAAACAGACTTGTCTGTATATTCTTTCAATGAATACTTTTATTTGCCAGTTTAAATCCTGGGTCACAAATGTTGCAGTTGCTATTTTTCTTTTTATCCAAGTGTTTGAGGTTGCTTTTTTTCTATACAGCCATTTAAAAGAAAAGAATATGATTAGCACCATATTATCATTTCTTTCAATGTATATTTTAAATATAATTACTACTTAGTCTGAATGAGAGATGCATATGGTATGAATGTTACCCATCTTTATAAATAAAAGGGAATAATACAGCGATGATATAATAAATGCCAAAAGACATTGCTTTCAAAAACATCAGCTTACTAATTGACCTTTTTTCTGCATTTACCATACTATTTGTCATTTCAGCAGTTAGCTATCTTTCTGACAAGTAAATTCCTTTCAAATGTGTATGACATTTAACTGGATAGAGTTATTTGTCATTGAATAATTTAATGTCATCTCTTATTGCCTCAATTTAAATGGTTGATCTAATTTTTATTTGCAATGTGAAATTTAGATAACTCATATTATATTGGTTAATGTCTAAATACTTTAAAAATTTAGATGAATGTACTTTTGACTTGTCAGCATAATCAAATGGGGCATATGGGATTGAGATTAAACAGTTGATTAAGTCCCATGATAGAATACATTTAGTTTCTCTTCTCCTTTTGGTCTTGCTTATTCACATCTCTTCAATCTTTCTGAGAACTCCCTTTACAACTCCAGATCTACAATAATTTTATGAAATCATCAGTTAAGCTCCTTGGATTAATATCCTTATTTTCTTTCTTTATTCTAAAGTTCCAAGGTACATATTAACTGCCTCCTTCAATCTTCTGTATTCAAATTACACCTCCTTTCCCTGAATTGAAAGGGAATTTCAATGTCCTTTATGAAAGCTATAGATAACCCTTTCTTATTTATCTATCTTTTATTCCCTACAATTTTCATAGGTTTTATGTCCTGATTAAATTATTTATATCCGCTTCTATTAACATTAACTTCTTCAATACTTAATGGCTTATCTAGTGCTTTTCTGAGGTTAACAACTGGTTTTAATCACCCTTTTCTGATTTATATGACATTACAAATAATTTTGGAAATTGTAGATAATTTGTCATAGTACTAAAAGTTTGTATGCAAGGGGTGTGTGTGTGTGTGTGTGTGTGTGTGTGTCACAGAGAGAGAGAGAGAGGGAAAGAGAAAGAGAAATTGATGAATAAATCTAATTAATCAATTTGGTCCTGTACAGATAATGAAGCTGTAAGTTATCTCTCTACTGTGATAGTAATTAATATATTCCCTATGGTCTACTTTGCTTATATCTAGTAACATTCAGGCAAAATTATAATCTCTCATGACACCATTTCATTCCTTCTCCAGCTTTATCCTTCTTGGAAGAGTGGCTTATAGCAGCCACTCTCACTAACCCAAATTTTTATTGGTTGCTAACATGAAACAGGTCTTCCATTCCCAAACCTCTTCAGCCATTTGTCTTTCCTCAGCCTTCACCCCTCTCTATTATTCTGCATCACAAATAACCATACCCTACTTATAGGAAAAATCTTATCCCCGTTTCTCCTCAAAATCTCTATCTGACATTTCATTATTCCATTATTCTCCTTATATTAGTGAATGTGTAGCTTGTATATATTGAAGAAATATTATTTTATAGGGTATTTTCTTCCACAAAGGAATGGAAATGGCTTACAGAAAGACACACGTCTCACAAAGCACAAAAATATATAAATATGAGTAGTAAGTTGGAGGAAAGGAAGGATGAGTTGCTAAAGTTAAACTGCAGGTTTGTTTCTGAACTTCATAGAAGCCAATACAAAAATGAATATTAGTTAGTGGCTGTATAGCATAGTGGCTAAGTGTAGACTCCAGAGTTAGTGAGCTGAAATGATGGCTTCAACACTTAACAGCTGTATGATTTTAGATACGTTACTTAGCACTCTGAATCTCATTATTCTTCTCTTTAACATGAGGACGAAGAGTATATTTTTAACAAACTTGTGAATATTAAATGCATATGAACTTATTAACTGTTCCTGCCTACTACAATGCAAACTTTATAAGGTATTACCATAATTCTTTATATTATTTTATTATCTGAAAATTAGAAACACACCAGTTCCTTAGAGAAAATAAAGCTTTTCTCAATATTATATAAAAAAATAAATTCCTCCATGGTTGCTTTGTTTATGGAAGTTCCACTTATGAGAAATTCAGTCTTATATTTTCCATTGTCTTTTGGAATATCTACCTGAAATTTCCAAAGAGCACCTTATACCTAATTGTTTTTCTCAAACTAAGTTTGGCCCTTAAGTTGTTTTTTCCTTAGGGAATTTCTTAAAGGAATCTTGGAGATTATTTCAACAATTAAAGAAAAGGAAAACATATTGTCAGTCTCATTTTTTAAGAGAAAAAAGCTATCCATCCTCACTATATACTAGAAATTGGATATACTTTATTTAGAAAACACAAAACATTAAATACAAGGCTGTACTAGTCAGTGAGACCTAGTCAGTGTATACTTTTACTCCTTTTGGGAAGATACTTAATGATAGCTGCTCCCTACTTTTTGGATTTTGTCTTCAGTTCAGATGAACCAAAGCGAGATATCTACATATCCACCCTAGATATCCTAGTTTTATGGGACACGGCTCGGGGAGAATGTGGCATATTCTGATGCACACTGCAGGTGTGTGGCTAAGCAAAACATAAACCTGTGGAATGTAGCTTACTTATCTGTTCAGATAAAAAACTAAATCCTCAATTGGTCTTTTTGGCTTTTCCTCCTCAGGTCATTTTAGGAGTTAGGAAGAATGCCTAATGAAGAAGGAATTTAACATATCACTATTTGGACCATGGAAATAGGTTAACTTCCTCCTTCACCTGGCTTTCTTTATGGGGAAGGTAATGTACCAACTATTACCAACTATTATTATATACTTTTTTAGATCAGAAGTGGGAACATTGCTGACAGGTACCTGCCACTCTTGTTTGTTCAAAATTCCCAGTACACAAAATTAATAATTAGAGATAAAACCATTTCTTTTCTTTTTGTTGTGATAAAAGACAATAAAGACTAGAATAGCCAAGACTAGAAGACAAGAGACTACAGATAAAATGATGGGGAAGATTTGTCATTTTGGAGTTTAGAAGACCAATCATTTCACACTGATTTTATGAATAATTTTTTTTATGTTATGTGTTCAGTGTAACATAGTAGCACTTATTTATGTCATAAAACTGACTTAAAACTCTGTTTCATTTGGGAGGATATTAGCGATACACTTCTTAAAAAGCACCTTTTCTGTTTCAGATGCTCTCCTTGAGCTTTGCTTCTTGGCATTAGCTGTACTGTGGCACAGAAGAAAACTATCTTTTTAAAAAATTTATTTGTAATATTATTTTGATTGACAAATCATAATTACATACATTTATGGGGTACGATATGCTATTTTGATATATGTATGCAATGTAGAATAATTAAATCAAGCGAACATATCCATCACCTTACTTACCTATCATTTTTTACAGTGAGACATTTGAAATTTACTCTCTTAGTTATAATACATTATTATTAATTATAGTACTTTGTTGTGAATTAGTCTCAAAACCTATTAATATTTCTCCTCCCAGTATGAACTTTGTACCCGTTAATCAACAACTCCCCATTCCCTTCCTCCCTCCCACCCCCTCAGCCTTTGGTAACCACCATTCTACTCTCTACTTCTATCAGATCAACCTTTTTAGGTATAAGTGAGATAATGTAGTATTTGTCTTTCTGTGCCTGGATTAATTCACTTAGTATAATGTCTCCCATATTCATCCATGTTGTGAAAATGATGGGATTTCCCACTTTTTAAGGCTGAATGTGTATAACACATTTTCTTTGTCCATTTATCCATTGATAAACCTTTACATGGATTCCATATCTTGGCTATTGTGACTAATGCTGCAATAAATACAGAAGTCCAGATATGTCTTCAAAATAATGATTTCAGTTCCATTGTATATATACCCAGAAATGGGATTATTTGATCACATGGCAGTTCTATTTTTAGCTTTTTGAGGAAACTCTATACTGTTTTCCATAATTGCTATATTAATTTATTTTCCTACCAACAATGTGTAAAAGTTCTCTTTTATCTGAACCCTGTCCAAAACTTGTTAATTTTTTTTCTTTTTGATAAAAGCCATTCTAGCTAGCGGATATGAGGTGACATCTCATTGTGGGGTTTTTTTGCATTTCCTTGATGATTAGTGATACTGAGCATTTTTTAATCAACCTATTGGCTATTTTTACTCTTCTTCTGAGAAACATCTGTTCAGGTCCTTTGTCCATTTTTTTCATCGGGTTTATTTTCTTGCTACTGGGTTAAGTTCCTTATATATTTTGGATATTAACATCTTACCAGATGTATGGTTTACAAATATTTGCTCTCATTCTGTGGGTTGTCTTTTCACTTTGTTAATTATTTTCTTTGCTATGAAAAAGCTTTTCAGTTTAGTGCAATGTCATTTGTTTATTTTTGCTGTAGTTGCCTGTGCTTTTGGGGTCATATCCAAAAAGCCATTTTCCAAATCAATGTCATGGAGATTTTCCCCTATAATTTTTTTCTAATATTTTTACTGTTTCAAGTTTCATATTTTAATGTTTAACATACTTGGGGGTTTTTTGCTGATTTTTTAATTTTTTAAATGTTTTTTTTAATTTCCATAGGTTTTTGGAGAACTGGTGGTATTTGGTTACATGAGTAAGTTCTTTAGTGGTGATTTGTGAGATTTGGTGCACCTGTCACCCGAGCAGTATACACTGAACGTGTGTTTAATCTACTTTAAATTGACTTTTGTGTATGGTGTAAATTAAAGGCCTACTTTAATTGTTCTGCATATGAATATACAGTATTACCAACACCATTTAGTGAAAAGCTGTCCTTCCTTTATTGTGTATTCTTGATATCTTCTTCAAAAATGCATTGAGTACAAATGTATGGATTTATTTTTGGGTTTTCTAGCCTGTTCCATTAGTCAATATGTCTATTCTATATCCAGTACCATGTTATTTTGATTACAATCATTTCACAATATGCTTTGAAAACCTGGAGTGCAATGCCTTCAGGTATGTTTTTCTTTTTTTCTTTTTCATTTTTTATTATTTTAGAGACAGGATCTGTCTCTATTTCACAGGCTGGAGTGCAGTGGCACGACACTCACTCACTGCAGCCTCAAACTCCTGGGCCCAAGTGATTCTTCTACCCCAGCCTCCCAAATAGCTGGGACTACAGGTGTACACCACCACACCTGACTAGTTTTATTTTGTATTTTTTAGAGGTACAGCCTTACTATGTTTGCCCAGGCTGGTCTCAAACTCCTGGCCTCAAGCAATTCTCAGATCTTGTTCTTTCAAAGCATGAACATTACAGATGTGAACCACCACTCCTGGCCCAGCTTTATTTTACTTGCTCAAGATTGATTTTGCTACTTGGAATCTTTGTGATTCCATACAAATTTAAGTATTTGTTTTCTATTTCTGTGATAAATGACATTGAAATTTTGATTGGGATTGATTGCACTGAATCTGTAGATTGCTTTAGGTAGGACAGACATTTTCACAATGTTAATTATTTCAATCCATGAACACATGATATCTTTCCATTTATTTGTGTTTTCTTCCATTTATTTTATCAGTGTTTTAATGTCTTCAATATACAGGTCTTCTACCTTTTGGCTTAAATTTGTGCCTAAGTATTTAAATTTTTTGGTTATTATCATAAATGGGATTGTTTTCTTAATTTCCTGTTTAGACAATCTGCTATTAGTACAATTCAACTGACCTTTGAACTACTCAGGGATTAGGAGTGCCAACCCTCCATGCAGTCAACAATCCATGTAGGTAATCTATACTTTTATTGAAAAAAATTCACATGTAAATGCCCCCTCACAGTTCAAACCCATGTTATTCAAGGATCACCTTAAAAAGGAAAAAGTAATAAATAGCATCCAAGAAATAGGGGATCCAATAAAAGGCAAAGGAAATTTGTACAATGGTGCTGAATGCTCCAGGAGGACAGACAACCAGTTCTGTGTTGGAGAGAAGGCTCCACAAAAAGGTCTCTAGGAATAAAACAGAAATGATAAGCTAAAAAAATTTCTTAAAAATCACTACTGATTTTTATATGTTGATTTTGTTTCATGCAACTTTACAGGATTCACTTACCAACTCCTGTTTTTTGGTGGAGTCTTTAGGGCTTTTTTATAGACAAGATTATGTTGTTCACAAACAGAGACTTTTTGACTTCTTCCTTTCTTATTAGGATGCTTTTTGTTTCTTACTGTTGCCAAATTCTCTGGCTAGTAATTCAAGTGGTATGTTGAAAAGAAATGGTAAAAGTAGGGGGCATTAAATTTTGTCAAATACTTTTTCTGCATGTATTGAAATGATCAAATAATTTTGTGCTTCATTTTGTTAATGTGATGTATTCACACTCATTAATTTGTGTACGTTAAAATATTCTTGCATTTCAGGGATAAACCCCACTTGATCATGGTGAATGAATCTCTTAATGTAGTCTTGAATTCTGCTTGCTATTATTTTATTGAGTATTTGCGCATGTATGGTTATTAGGGATAATGGCACTTTTCTTGCAGTAGCTCTCTGGCTTTTTTTTTTTTTTTTTTTAATCAGGGTAATGCTAGCCTTGTAAGATAAACTTGGAAATATGAGAGGAAGTTATTTTTTATTTTCTTCTTCCTCTTCGAAATAGTAACACTGAAACAGTTAAAAACATGAAACAACACCATAAATGGCACATTTCTACCTTGTGGAAATACTTTTAGTACATATTAAATAAAAACTTTCAAAGATAACCAAAAGCAGAGAGATCGTTGTAAACCATTCCATGTACTCATCACCCAGTCTCAATTACTGACATTTTGCCAGACTTGTGTCATTGTTTAATAACCATTCCAGTTTTCCTTTGTGTGTGTATACTGTTTTAAAGCAAATAATAAAAATTACGCTATACTACCCATAAATATTACTAAGCATTTTAACCCCATAAGAACTTTAAAAATATCCACCACAGTATTATTGCACTTCATACAGCTAACTAAATTTGTCATCAATATTGAAATTTCACCAGTTGCGACAAAAATATACTTTGTTTTTTTTTTCAAAATAACATCCAGCAAATATCCACACATTGCATGTGTAATTAGGTTTAAGTCTTTTTTATTCTATAACAACCTTCCTTCCTTCTCTTTGCTTTTATTCCCTTCCATGCCATTGTTTTTTTGTTTGGTTTGGTTTTTCAAAATTTATGTTATCTGTTCCATAAAATGTCCCATATTCTGATATTTGAATGACTGATTCCTCATGGGTTTGTGTACTTGTACCCCTATGTTTCTTGTAAAGTGGTATTAGTTCAGATTTATGTTCAATTTTTGTAAGCAAGGACATTTTATGGATACTTTTTATTTTATTACATTACGGAGCATTTAATGTCTACTTATCCCACTTTTAGAGATGCTAATTATAACCAGTGGATTCAGGGGCTGTCAGACTGATCTATCCTTTACAAATCTTTTCCACACTCTTTCAATTAATGGTTTTAGTATTCACTGATGATAACTTATTATGTAACTAAGAATTGCAAAATAGAATATCATTCCCGTCATTCTTTTACATTTATTAGCCATATTATTTTTAATAAGGAAACATTATTCTACATCAAGTATTCTGTGAGACTAAAATATAACATGTACAATGAGTTTGTTTGCTACGGCTGCCATAACAAATTACCACACACTTGGTGACTTAAACAACAGAATTTTTTTTTTTTTTTTTAAGTTCTGGAGGCTCAAGTCCAAGACAAGATGTCAGCAGGATTGGTTTATTCAAAGGCCTCTTGCCTTGGCTGTAGATGGTCATCTTCTCACTGTGTCTTTACATGGCTGTACCTCTGGTGTCTCTCTTTTCTTATCAGCATATCAGTTATATTGGATAAGATCCCATCTTTATGACCTCTTTTATCTTAATTATCTCTTTAAAGGCCCTATATCAATATAATAGTTACATTCTGAGTTACTGAGGGTTAAAAATTCAACATAAATTTTAGAGAAACACAAAGCAATCCAAAATTTATGGAAAAGGCAGAATAAATGTTTTCTTTTATCCTTTTAATTAATCACTTTCAAAATAATAACATTACCTAGAAACACTCACTAATAACCAGTGCCAGTTCATCATTTTTGTGTCAATAAAAAAATGATTTTTTTATGTATATATGGTGGGTTAAAATTTATTATAGTAATTATTAATCTTTATGTTGTCATTGTTATTTCATTTTAGGCTAGCAGGAATAAAGTAAAATGTAGCATTTCTTTTTGTTGTAACTTGACTTTTCTTTGCACATTTTTGCATAGGATATTTATATTTTACTTTTTAACTTATAGACTACCAATAAGAAATATTACAGTTTTATCTATGGATAATATAAAAATATATATTCTGGTTTGCCAAATATTTTTATTTTCATTTTCTATGCAAATGTCTCTTTATGTTCTATATTGTCAAATGTATCTATCTGTATTAGTCCATTTTCACACTGCTATGAAGACATACTTGAGACTGGGTAATTTATAAAGAAAACAGGTTTAATTGACTCACACTTCCACTCACAGGGGAGGCCAAAGGAAACTTAAAATCATGAGGAGAGGGGAGGAAGTCACGTCCTACATGGTGGCAGGCAAGAGAGAGCAAGAGCAGGGAAAACTGCCTTATACAACCATCAGATCCCATGAGAACGCACTCACTATCACTCACTATCACAAGTACAACATGGGGGAAACCACCCCCATGATCCAATCACCTCCCACATAGTTCCTCCCTTGACATGTGGGGATTATGTGGATTACAATTTGAGATGAGAATTGGGTAGGGACATAGCCAAACCATATCATTCTACCCCTGGCCCCTCCCAAATCTCACATCCTCACATTTGAAAACACAATCATACCTTCCCAACAGTCCCCCAAAGTCTTAACTCATTTCAGCATTAATCCAAAAGTCCACAGTCCAAAGTCTCATCTGAGACAAGGCAAGTGCCTTCTGCCTATGAGCTGATAAAATAAAAAACAAATTAGTTCCTTCCAAGATACAATGGGGGTACAGCATTGGGTTAATACACCCATTCCAAATAGGAAAAATTGGCCAAAACCAAGGGGCTACAGGCCCCATGCAAGTCCAAAATCCACGGGGGCAGTTATTAAATCTTAAAGCTCCAAAATGATCTCCTTTGACTCCATGTCTCACACCCAGGGCATGCTGATGCAGGGGTGGGCTCCCATGGCCTTGGGCAGCTCCTTCATATGCTGGTTTTATGTGTTTATGGCTTTTCCAGGTGCATGGTGCAAGCTGTTGGTGGATCTACCATTTGGGGGACTGGAGGATGGTGGCCCTCTTTTCACTGCTCCACTAGGCAGTACCACAGTGGGGACTCTGTGTGGGGGCTCCAACCCCACATTTCCCTTCCACACTGCCCTAGCAGAGGTTCACAATGAGGGCACTGCATCTGTAGCAGATTTCTGCCTGGATATCCAGGCATTTCCATGCATCCTCTGAAATCTAGGCAGAGGTTCCCAAACTTCAATTATTGACTTCTGTGTACCTGTAGGGCCAACACCACATAGAAGCCACCAAGGCTTGGGGCTTGCACCTTCTGAAGCAATGGCCTGAGCTGTACCTTGGCCCCTTTTAGCTATAGCTGGAGCTGAAGTAGCTGGGACACAGGGCACCAGGTCTCAAGGCTACACAGAGCAGGAGGGCCATAGGCCTTGTCCATGAAACCATTTTTTCCTTATAGGCCTCTAGGCCTGTGATGGGAGGGGCTGCCACCAAATTTCTGACATGCCCTGGAGACATTTTCCCTATTGTCATAGTGATTAACATTCAGCTCCCTGTTCCTTATGCAAATTTTTGCAGCCTGCTTGAATTTTTCCTCAGAAAATGGGTTTTTCTTTTCTATCGCATTGTCAGGCTGTAAATTTTCCAAACTTGTATGCTCTACTTCCCTTTTAAATATAAATTCAAATTTCAGATCACTGCTCTCAAGTTCAAAGGTCCACAGATCTCTAGGGCAGGGGCAAAATAATGCCAGTCTCTTTGCTAAAGCATAGCAAGAGTCATCTTTGCTGCAGTTCCCAACAAGTTCTTCTTCACCATCTGAGACCACCTCAGCCTGGACTTCATTGTCCTCATCATTGTCAGCATTTTAGTCGAAACCATTCAACAAGTCTCTAGGAAGTTCCACACTTTCCCACATCTTCCTGTCTGCCTCTGAGCCCTCCAAACTGTTCCAACCTCTGCTTGTTACCCAGTTCCAAAGTTGCTTCCACATTTTCAAGTATCTTTATAGCAATACCCCACTCTCCACGGTACCAATTTACTACACTAGTTCATTTTCACATTGCTATAAATCTGAGACTGAGTAATTTATAAAGAAAAGAGGCTTAACTGACTCACAGTTCTACATGGCTGGGGAAGCCAAAGGAAACTTACAATCATGGCAAAAGGGGAAGAAGTCACATCTTACATGCTGGCATGCAAGAGAGAGCCAGAGCCTTATAAAACCATTAGATCTCTTGAGAACTCACTCACTATCATGAGAACAGCTTGGGGAAACCACCCCCATGATCCAATCACTTCCCACCTATTCTCTCCCTCAAGGCATGGGGATTAAAACTGGAGATGAGATTTGAATGGGGACACAGAGCCAAACCATATCACCATCTTTTCTTTAATTGCTTCAAATAAATTAAAAGTTATGGTTAGGAAATACTCTCTACCCCTAGGTTGTAAAAAATTTCAATTTAATTATTATTTTAATACTTATATATTTAATTTCAAAACTCTGACCCATTTGGAATTTGTCTTGACAGATTTGGTGAGGATTATACACAATTTTCTCTTTTCCATATGATGAATTATTGCTTTAAACATTATTAATTAGTAAAGGCTCCATCATATCACTTAATAATAGCACCAATTAAATACTAACACCTGGAGGTCTGGAGGTGGCTGAGACCTATTCTATCTGATGTGATATATTTTGCTGTGAATCTGAAAACTATATATACATATATCATTTGTCTTATATTTAGGATATAGAGGCCTGGAAACCGAGAGATGGATTTAAAAGTACTTCCTCTCAACTGTACTTCAAATGGCCCTTCAGATTCATTTTTCTCCTGTTTAATAATGTCAGCTCTGTTAGTTTAGAGATCTACTTCCCAACAGAATAATGTTTCCACCCAGGGACACAGTGGTTGCATTTAGTGGTAAGTCAGGATTGTCATCCTAGTTTTTTGTACTTTCTGAGTCTCTGAGCCAATAGAGAAGTTACTGTACTGGCTTGAGTGATCAGCTGTTATTATTAAGAAGAATGTGAGGTGGAGAGGGGGCAGGAGCAGTAGCTCAAGCCTAAAATCCCAGCAAAAGATCACTGGAGGCCAGGAGTTCGAGACCAGCCTAGATGACATAGAGACCTCATTTCTCCAAAAAAAATTAATTAGGCATGATGATGCACACTTGGAAGGCTGAGGTGGAAGAATCACTTGAGTCCCAGATGTTGAGGCTGTAGTGAACTGGGATTGCTCCCCTACACTCCAGCTTGGGTGACAGAGCAAGGCAGAAAGAAAAGAAAAGAAAAGGAAAGAGGAGAAAAGAGGAGAAGAGAAGAGAGAAAAGAAAAGAAAGAAAATAAAAGGAAAAAAGAAAAGAAAAAGAACGAGGGGGTTCCTGTTACATATAACGGCAAAGGAGGAGAGTGGATGGAGTCTAGAAAATTGTTTAGATTACCATTTGGTACTTTATGTCCAGTGGTAAAAGTTAGTGGAAGACTATGTCAACTAAATACAAACAGGAGAACTAAAGCTCATCATGTGTCAAAATAAGGGTTTTGAGTCACCCTGGCAAGCACAGACCCTTCAGTAGGTATTTTGACTGAGAACAATGGAAAATATAACAGCTAGTGGCTGCTGGAAGTTGTAAGTAACAACAATGATAAGATTAGAAGAACTACTGAAATGTCCAAATCTGAGGCACTATTCAAGAGTCATTCATATTGGATTCTATGTAAAGGCACACACTCACAGCACAAAACTAGTGCTAGAACAAATATGAAATATCACCCCAAAAGTTCTTCAGTGCAGTCTCCTAAGCTATGATTTCATAACTAACAAGGACTGTGAAAATGATACAAATTTTCTTTGTTCTATAGTCTGTCTATGCCATGATGGTGGTCATGAAAATCAAATTTATCAGCTCCCAATTTATCAGCTAAATTGACAGGATGTCAATTTAGATTTGTACCTGAGCCACAGGAATAGTGATCATCACCAAAAGATGAAAGAACTCTTTCGTAGGGGAGAAAGATAACCCATCCCTGTTTATGGGTAAGAGGGTTGCATTATATCAGGAACATATTACTGTTGCAATTCCTGCTGCTTTATTAGGTTTGTTTGTGGAGTTTCCTAGCGGGAGAATTAGGAAAGATATCATCAAAAGGTTCCTTCTGAAAACATTCCAGTTCCCTTTAAGTATGCCTTTGGTGTTGTGGATTCTAGAATGCTAATCTTTGTCTCTCCATGATTCCCACATAGCCTGGGTCCTGGATAGGATTTAGATTCCACAGATACTCTCACAGTGCCATTTGGCTGTAGAAAAGAACTAAATGTGAAGAAAAGCAGGATATAAAACATTTATTTGCTGGCATGTATAGAAATATAACTGGTGTCATTCTGCTGTCAGCATGTCAGAAGATTTTAGACTTTTCTGCAGTGGTTATGAAAGCTTTAACCATGTTACAGGGGCAGACTGATACTGGAGTTTGAAAGCTACTCTTGGAGACATGGGCTGCCTACTATTTTGGCCTTCCAACAATTTTATAAGAAACTCAATAGATAACGATAAATACCTTCAAGCTTAAAATCGCGATTATGATTTCTGCTGTGCGCAATGAAACTCTGAGTGAAACAGGTAACATATTCTGCTTATCAGATTTACACCACCTTTGCTAAAACAAATTTCTTGCAAAGATATGATACCAAGTTCTGTAATTAAACAAGGAAAGAGAAAAACTATCAAATTATAATTTTAAAAAAGAATTAAATAACTTCTTAACATCTCTAGTAGAGAACTGCAATATGTAATTGATTTCAGAAAATATAGTTTAAATGAAAGCAAACCATTTTTTATGATTCTCTACTTCATACACAATGCAAAGTATCAGGATTCTACCATGTTGGTTACATTTCTGTTTTTCCTGTTTTAAATTCAAGAATTATAGAAGAGAACAAAATCTTAAAAGGTCATTCAAATAAAATAGTCCAGAGAATATTTCTAGATCTATACTTCATCGTTATAAAATTTTTTAAAGTAAAAAAAGTTTAAAAAGAGACAATTATTTTATTAATATGATGAAAAAGTGAGACTTAACATACAAAACTTTAGTATTACAGTTCTTTGTGATTGTACTGAATTCATATATATGTATATATATGTGCTATGTTATTTACCTTTAATGTGAGTTGATTAATAATAAAGACTTTTAAGTGCTGTGAAGAATAAATTAACAAAAAGGACTATTCTGAAGATGAATGATGTGACCTAGGTACCCAGCTAAACAAGTTATGTAAACACTGCATAGAAGGGAGGCATATAAATCTATCATACATATTTTATACTGGACAACACAACCATCTGGGAGAATGCAAAGATTTATTGTCCAAGTGCTGTTGTTGTATGTAGTTCTCTGTCTTTTTCACATCGCAGTAGTTTTGTCTGAAATGTTGTCTTAGCCATAGTTTCTCATACTTTATCATTAACAAATGTCTAAGCTATGATTTAAGTCATCTAAATTAGCCATTTATTACATTATTCACTCATTGTGGACAATTTTTTATTACTTTGAAATCTATGGTAATAAAAATCTATACAATGATTTTAAGCCCTAAGTATTTCACTTATAGTCTTTCAATAGTCTACTCAATTAGCTTGTTTAAATATTATTCTTAGTGTTTTAGTTGTGTCAGAATTGACAAATAAATTGTAAAAATTGATGCTCCTGATAAAATGGTACTTTACCATGCCTTATGATTTCACTTTCTATAAATGCTTCAAGAAAAATGTGCTAAGTACTATTGCAAAAAACTCTTTTGTCACTTTTTTTTTGATGCATGATTAGAGAGGGAAAGATAAGTATAAGAAGGTTTTCTAGATCTGAATCATTGATGGGTAAATTGGAAAACATCACTTCATATGTCACGTGAGGAATGACTCAACCAGAGCTCAGTAATTTATTGGGTTACTCTATCCCAAATAGGACTAGACTTTGTGGAACAAAGATGAAAAAAAGATAATTCCTAATTTCAAGGATTTATGATCTGAAACTCATATATCCAGGTCTCACAAAAGAATAACTAGTCAAGTATTATAAGAGATGCAGAGAATTACACACTTGAGTATGATTTTATTTTTCTGTGATGTAGTGGAAATCACAGACTTCAGATAAACTTTAAATGATCTTGAATAATGAATAGGTTTTTGGAACAAAGAAGATACTTCAGGTCGAAGAATCATGAGCATGAACAAAAGAAATTATCTAGAAAAAAATTTGGTCATAAGTGTCTAATATAGTAGTACCCTGAATAATGAATGTGGCTATTCATTCATTATAAAATCAAATGTGTGGTTTATGTTTTTTCTGAATTAAACACAAAAATTCAAAAGTTACGAAAAGCTTGCCGTGAAATGCAAACTTCTTTCTCTTGTATTCCAGGTCAGAGAATAAATCACAAGGCTTTTATATTGCTTTTCACATTGTTCTATGTATATGCAAGTATATACATTATTCCTCTTTTTTTTTTTTTTTTTTTTTTGAGACAGAGTCTCGCTCTGTAGCCCAGGCTGGAGTGCAGTGGTGTGATCCTGGCTCACTGCAAGCTCCGCCTCCTGGGTTCACACCATTCTCCTGCCTCAGCCTCCCGAGTAGCTGGGACTGCAGGCGCCCGCCACCACGCCCGGCTAGTTATTTTTTGTATTTTTTTAGTAGAGACGAGGTTTCACCTTGTTAGCCAGGATGGTCTCGTACTCCTGACCTCATGATCCATCCATCTGGGCCTCCCAAAGTGCTGGGATTACAGGTGTGAGCCACCGCGCCAGGCCTCCTCTTTTAATTTTTACACAAATAGTAGCAAAAGACATATTCTCTATTTTTACTTTAACACAATACCTCTCTGAGATTGTCCTCATCATTTGTATTCTTCTTAAATCTGTGAAAATGAAAGTTGAATTGCCTAGTTTCAGCAAAATAATAGATTACAGTCTGATTACAAGAATCAGTAGAATGCATTGTTGGCCAGAAACTGGAAGCATGATGTATAGACTACTGTCAAATACTGGTGGTGAAAGGAAAAGGCAAAATGAAATATTTGCATAATGAGCTATTTTAGAAGATAGCAAACTATAGTGGAACAAAATTACTTTGGTGGTACAAAAGTTTCTATTAAATTTCAAAATCCTATATTTATCAAGTCTAAAACTTTGGGAAAATTCTCTTCAGTTACTACATTTGTATAATGAAGGAAAATAATAACTAATTCACAGGATCCTTGTAATGTTTAAATGAACCTTTAGTTCCTGGCCCATAATACTTATTTTTATGGCATTTTATACTTATTTAGTAATTATCCATAATTTAATAACAAAAGCTTACAGCCTTCAATGTTACTAATGTCTCTTAATTACATATGCACTATAACTGTATTTAGATTTTATTGTTTTGCATACTTACTAATTTAATGTTTGAGTTCTATGAAGTACAATTACAGTGATCAGTAGTTTATTTAGGATAATTCTAGCTGCTGAAACAAGGAAACCCCAAAATAACAGTGGCATCACATAATAGTTTGTCACTTATTACATTGCCTAATGCAGGTGTTCTCGGTTAGTGGGTAGATCTCTCCCATGCAGTGACTCTGAAACTTAGTTTTCTAACATCTTTTGACTCCCCAGTCCTCCAGGATTTTGAAGTCCTCTGCATCCGGGCAGTGGAACAGAAGTGTGGAGAAGATTCATCATCTGCTTCTTAAATGCCCTAGTCAGAAAGGGGTACTCATCATTTCTGTTCATATTTTATACGGCTACAAATAGATGTGAGAAGAGCAAGAAAACATAGTCCTGGCAAGGCAGTTGCCTTCTGATGACAACTCTGCACTCTGGAGGTAGACAAATTTTGGTCAATAGCTGGCAGTTTTAGCCATATTAGTCCAGTACTCACCTTCACAAATGAGGAAACTTAAGACTCGGCCATTGTTGATCTAACACATACTTACTGTTTTTTATTGTGTTTTCTTGATCTAATGGTATTTTGAAACACAATGGGTAGGACTAAAATATGGACCATTTGAAAGGAGGAAATGTTAGATTATTATACTAGGCAAATAATGTTGCCAATATATTTGCACAATTATGGGACATAGACTTTCATTTTCCTGTTTAAAATAAGTATGTAGTATTAAAGAATTAACATAAAATATGGCATTATTAAGAAGATCTATGATTTTGGTGCCTGGTCCTTATTTAGGAGTTTAGCACCCTGGTTACATATATCATAATAATGAAAAAGCATTATTCTGTTTTATGCTGCCTGCAGAAAAAAAAAGGATGAAAAATAGATACTGTCTGTGCAGTATGAGCCACAGTATAAATGTGCAGAATATGATCTAAGTGGAGGATAATAAAAATTTTGAAAGCAGTATTTGCAAAACTTGTTCCAAACTTCCTCATTAATCAGCACAAATATTTTTCTAAGTATACATTGGAAGGCCTTTGCACTTAACTCAATTATTGAAGTAGTAGGAAAATTATGCTCTACTGTGTATAAAATATTTCTAAGCTATTCAAAGAAGACACTACAAAGATATTTAAAGAAGATACTATAATATAGAAAAACACTTCATGCAGATGTATCAATTATTAGTATCTCATCACTGTATGGCGTTCTTAACTAAGTTGAAATTGTTTTCAAATACTGGTTGAATAAGTGAAGAAGGAAAATTGTATTGTGTTAACAGAAATATGTGTTCATTCACCCACCCACTGAACACCTATTTTGTGCCAGACGTTGTTCTGGACACTAGGGATCCAGCAGGGAATAAAATACATGAGTTTCCCACTTGCTTATTTTTCCCTTACTTTACAAACCTGGAACTCTTTAAACAACAAACTGAAAAACACCACACAAAATTAGGCAGCTATCTTTGAAGAGTGAATTTGCTTGGAATTGCCTGCTTTGAGCATCATAAGTTTGATGAGGTATGAAGCAAAAATACAGATGTACAACATTAATTAAAATAACCAGCAATTCCACCAGAGGATTCCAAAAGGGATTTAAAGACTCACCCTGCCAGAACAGAGACGGAGCCAGAAAAGGGTGATGAAGCAGATTTACAAGACCGGCTCTCAGAAAATTTGCTTGGACATGCAGAACCATGCTTTCAAGTACTATTGTTACCAACGCGAATCTGCAGCGAAAGTGATCCTTGCCTCTCTGGAGGACAGAATTTGGCTGAGGGGCAGAAGTATGTTTAAGGCAGAGGGAGAGACTGAGGCAAGTTTTAGAGCAAAAGTGAGAGTTTATTAAAAAGTTTTAGAGCCTGAGTGAAAGGAAGCAAAGCACACTTGGAAGAGGGTCAAGTGGGTTCCTTGAGAGATCCAAGTGCCCCGTCCAACCTTTGGCTTGGGATTTTAATACATTGGCTTGGTTCCGGGATTTGAGTTTCTCCTCCCTTGATTTCTCCCTTGCGGCAGGCTGTCCACAGGCACAGTGGCCCGCCAGCACTTGGGAAGGGGTGCATACACAGTGTGTTTACTGAAGTTGTGTGCATGCTCACTTGAGGTGTTTTTCCCCTCATTAGACAAAAATTCCCAGAGGAAGGTTATATACCAGTTAAACTTTGCCATTTTGCCTCTTAGTGCATGCTTGAGCCCACTAGCCCAATCCCTGAGATCTTATCGGGAAGCTGCTGCTCCTCCACAGCTCCAGGAGTTTCCTATTTATTGGGAGACTGTCGGTCCCTAGTACCAGCTGTGACCAATTATAATTTCAGAGACACAGTTTAACAACCACCTGACCATTACCTGATGGTCCCCTGAAGTTCTCTGGGGTTGGGAGAGGCTCTCCTGCCTGGCTCATGTCTGCCTAACTACCTACTCTAACATTATGACTTGGAGAAATACTTATTGGGGACTTTTAAAAAACTGCAGAGTATCATAAGACTTTTGGCTATGAGGATTTACCAGTTGCAGAATAAAGAATTTTAAAATAATTTGTCTTTGAAGATATTACCTTCTGATATATTGCAAGTAAGGTATTGAGAAGTCAATAGGGTTTGGTGCCAGGTTTCTGATGGAGAATTTGAAGATACGTGTTTACATTTCTATAAAGTAAATTTGACTGTCTGAGTCACATATATCTTGGTCATAATTCACAATTATTAGGAAATTTGAAAATAATTTTTTTAACAAAAGCAAATTTGAGAAAGTCTATTTTTAAAGTTGCTAAAATAAGGGGCTCAGTATATTTTTAGTAATTGGAAGACTGGTTGATTGAGAAATACAAATTTTTCAGTAAAAATGTATTTTCTTTCCAAATAAAATAAAAATTTATGAAATATAATTTCTAAAAATTTGACAATTAAGTATAAATATTCTAACTGGGTATTGGCTTATAATTAATAAATGTAATTTAAATATGTTTTATGAGTTAAAAGCTTATAAATCTTTTTATTCATATATTATGCTTTGCTTATACATTGTATTGCTTACTGGTAAACTATAAGTTTATGTGCCTATGTGGACAATAAACACAAATTAGGTTATATAATGATATTTTATACATATATAGAAAAATACCCATTTGTTTGATTTCTTGGTCCATTTTAAAAAGAACTTCAAAATTTACATTTTGGTTTCTATTTTCCCCATCAACATCAGCATTCTGCATTACTTGAAAACATTACTATTAAACAAAAAAGAAAATATTATGAAAGGAATACCTGTGGCAATTTAGTTGGTAGTTTATTCTCTTTCTATTTAAACTGTGGCCCACAAATTGGCAGCATCAGTATCACCTGGGAGCATATTAAATCAGCAGCTGCATTTAACAAGATCCCCAGGTGATTGTATGACCATTAACATTTGAGAGGCCCCTGTCTGGTGTATGCAACAACTTTTTTTCTGCTTTTTCTTTGCTAGCAAACCCGTACTTTGTACTTTGTTCACATTTTGGGTGGTCATGTTAATTATGATCCCTTCCCAGCCCCAGGGGACAAAGGTTGATAAGACTAACCCAAGCATGATAATTTAATTTCCCTTTCCTGTGACTGTTTAAGCAGGGGCATGTGTCACAACCCTAAATAAAACACCATAGGGAATATTTTGAAGACAGAATAACGTGTTGTTACTCTGAAAAAGGTACACCAAACAAACAAGAGCATGGATCCTCTTTTGCTCTGGATATTTTTCTTTTGCAAGTAATATCTAACATGGCACAGCCTTCTTCGAACTATGAAGAGAAGGCAAGGGGAAAGCAGAGAAGCTGATCTAGGGTCTTTAAGGCCAAGCTAGAGTTCTTTCATTTGTTCCACGAGTCCCTCTGCTGCAAGCGTTCTTGTTAATGATATAAAGAACCCTTTCTTGTTGACCTCTTTCAGTTGCCTGTCTGTTACTTATCCCAACACAGATATCAATTTATAATTATCACTGGTATCAAATAGCTAGATTAGCCACTTTATTTGCCTTTAAATCACCACCTTCTTAATCCACAGATGGGATAATTTGTGTAGATTTGTGTTAGTGAGCTACAGATGGATGAGATATTCCCAAAAGAATGGCAGCCTGTACAGCAAATTTAATTGTTGGACTATGATTGAAATAAACGTATACTCAAATTTCCCTATGTGGATTTTCATGCTATTTAAAGATTAAATGTATTGGTTTTCTATATCCTATTATGTGAGTTTGGAAGAAACAATAAAACAGTAACCAAATTTGGATATTAGTTTTGACTGAATACATGTTTACAGGTTTTAGTGACTTCCTTAAATAGCTTATAACAATAATTGTGGCATTTGGCTTCTTATAAAAATCATTCTGGGGAGCTCAATTTAAGAGCAAAATTGATGCTTACATTCTACTTATATTGTGCATTGCTAAATAAGCTTTTTCATTAGATATGTGTTTTCATTGATATATATTTTAATTACATATAAGTTTTCATTAGATGTATGATCATTAGATATACAGAATTTAAATTTTACTGGACAGTATTGATCTAATATATTGTACAAGGCATTTAAGATATATACTTTATTTGGAAAATATTCATGAATTTTTAGCTCACTAAGGTCATTGCATTTTCACATTAGAGTTTATATGTGCATCTTAATTGTTTGGTTAAAATAATTATTATTTATAAAAGTATGGTCCGGGCACGGTGGCTCACGCCTGTAATGCCACCACTTTGGGAGGCTGAGGTTGGCGGATCACCTGAGGTCGATAGTTTGAGACCAGCCTGACCAACACAGAGAAACCCTGTCTCTACTAAAAATACAAAAATTATCCGGGCACGGTGGTACATGCCTGTAATCCCAGCTACTCAGGAGGCTGAGGCAGGAAAATCATTTGAACCCAGGAGGCGGAGGTTGCGGTGAGCCAAGATGGCACCATTGCCCTCTAGCCTGGGCAACAAGAGTGAAACTCCATCTCAAATATAAAAAAAAAAAAAAGTATGACAGATGGTGGTTTTCCAGAGTTTGCCACAGGATTCTTTCTGGCCCCAGTGTGTTAGATGTGTTTTCAGTAATATATTTATTATGAATTGATGTTATAATAGCCATATATGTATGTATATATTAAACACATATTTCTCCTAAAATTATTTTAGCTTACAGTCTTATCTATAGTCATGATTCTCTACCCAGGTTACATATTCAAATTACTTAGGTTATTTTACAAAGTACTAATGTTCTTCCCAAGCCAATTAAATTAGAATCTCTGGGGAATGGACCTGGACACTGATATTTTTCAAAAGTTTCTGTTCCATTTAAATGGGCAACCATTTTAGAAGCATCCTAAACCATCTTTTAGGATAACAGATCTAAAGGATGCAATAAAATAGGTCTGACTGACTTAGTTCATTATTAGCCAGTTATTTGCTTCTCCCTGCACCCAGCATATCAGTGGCTTGATTTTTTATAGACACAATCTGAGACTGTTTTTATTCATAAAATATATTTTTGTAATGCATTTTAAAGATTATATAAAGCAGCATTAAGATCATTAACATTAGAGATTAAAACAAGTTATTGACCTCTCAATTATTAGTGTCCTATTACCATAAAATGCATGTTTTTAAAATAAAAGTTATTAAATTTTGATTTAAAACTAGTGATTTCAAATTAAATTAGAAATTGACTCCACATTATGTTTACTGTATTATTGGGAACAAATTCAATTTAGTAAAAAATGCAGTTACAGTATATTGATAATTTTTATAAACATCTCAAATTTTATTTGGGAGTCTACGCTACTTGAATTGCCTCTATAACTGACCATCATATTAATGCTAACATCTCACATAAGAAATAAAATTAGATAAATACCATTGTATTTGTCCATTCTCATACTGCTATAAGGACATACCTGAGACTGGGTAATTTGTAAAGGAAAGAGGTTTAATTGAGTCACAGTTCTGCATGGCTAGGGAGGCCTCAGGAAACTTATAATCATGGTGGAAGGGAAAGCAAACACATCCTTCTTCACATGGTGGCAGGAGAGAGAAGTGCAGAGTAAAGTGGAGAAATACCCCTTATCAAACCATCAGCTCTCATGAGAACTCACCCACCATCACAACAGCATGGGGGGACTGTCCCCATGATCTAATCACCTCCCATGGTGTCTCTCCCATAAAACATGGGAATTAGAATTCAAGATGAGATTCGGGTGAGGACACAGATCCAGATCATATCAAGCATATAATTCTGTGGGCATTTAAATTTAAATTAACTAAAATAAAGTTTAAAACATAGTTCCTTAGTTGCATTAGCCACATTCAAGAGTTCAATAGCCACAGATGGCTAGCAGCTACCTTTGGACATAACAGATATAAAATATTTTCATTGTCTCAGAAATTCAACTGAACTGTATTGATCTAACATATTGTATAAGGCCTTTAAGGCAGTACTCTTATTGGAGAAAGCTTAGTAAATGTTTAGCACACTGGGCTATCACATTTTTACTTCAGCATTTACATACAAATGATTTCTTTGTTTTAAATAATTACTATTTATAAAAGTGTGGCAGATGGTAATTTCCAAAATTTGCCACAGGATTATTTCTGGCCACAAATGCTGTTTTAGAACTTTGCCACTTCTCTTCATGAGATACAGTTTATTGTCTCTTCCTTGGAACCTCAGTGTGCTTGTGACTATTCAAATCAATAGACTACAAAAGAAGTGATGCTCTGTGATTCAGGAGGCCAGGTCATGAGGAGGACATGCCTTCGGTTTGACCCTCTCCTTTTTGGTATGTTTGCCCTGGAAACCAGCCACTTACTGTAAGAAGCCCAGAATACATGCAGTGGCCACATGTAGGTTTCAGTCAACAGTCAGCCAGAAAAGTGAGTGAGACGTCAGCTGATTCCAGTCCTTAGCATTCATGTCCTCTGGTGGATAGATGTTTTATTCCACTACATTTTGTGATTCCATAAATGAATTAAATGTACTTAAACCTTAAAATGAAACTGTATTCTATGCTTGTGTTTATCTAACATTTGGATAATAGTAATTTGGCTGGTCAATAAAGAGAAGCTGGGCTTAAAGTCAGACAAAATCAGATTTGAATTCTGGATTCTGTGATTCCTGGCCAAATAAAAAAAAGATAAATATTTCTCTTTCAAAGTTGTGATGAGATTACTGTTAAATATAAAACATCTAACCTAGTACCTGGCACATAGTCAATAATTAATAACTGGTGTGTTTGTCACTATAATGTTTTGGATGACCAGAAACATTATAGGAATAGTAGTAATTATGAACATTTACTTGAGTACTTATGTATCGTGTACTAAGTTTGATGTGTTGTCTCAAGTAGTAATGAATTTATTTAATTCATTAAATCATTTTATACACACATAAATCATGTTGCATAAACTCATCCTTTTTTATTACCAAAAACTGTACATATTTAATATATGTAATTTTTTGGTTGGAACAAATACATCTTTGAAACCCTCACCACCATCCTGTCCTTCACCTCTTAAAATTTCCTCCTATCTCTCTCCCTCCTTTTTGTGGTAAGAACACTTGACTTAAGATTTATCCTCTTAACACATTATTTCAAGTATGGAATACAAGATTGATAACTATAAGAACTATGTTTCGCAGGAGGTCTCTAGAACTTATTCATCTTGCATAACTGAAACTTTATACCCACTGAACAAACTACTATTGTCTCTGCTTCTCTGAGTTTAACTATTTCATACCTGTTATATAAGTGAGATCAGGCAGTATTTGTCCTTGCGTGCCTGGATAATTTGACTAATGCCCTCCAGGTTCATCCATATTATTGCATATGGCAGAATTCCCTTTTTTTAAGGCGGAATAATATCCCATTTTATTTATATATCACATTTTTAATCCATTCACCTGTTAATAGATATTAAGGTTGTTTTTATATCTTAGCTATTGTGCATAATACCACAGCGGACATGGGAGTGCAGATATCTCTTTAAAAACCCGATTTCAATTCTTTTGGCTATATACCCAGTGGTGGGGATTGCTGGGTCATGTGGTGTTATATTTTTAATTTTCTGAGGAACCTCCATACTTTTTGTCCATAGGGGATGCACCATTTTATATTCCCATCAACAGTATAAAAGTATTCCAATTTCTCTACATTTATCAACACTTTTTATATTTTGCCATTTTTATAATAGTAATCCTAAGAGGTGCGAGGTAATATTACACTACAGTTTTGATTTGCATTTCCCTGATTAGTGATGTTACACATCTTTTATTATACCTGTTGGTCATTTGTATGTATTCTTTATAGAAATATCTATTCACATACTTTGCTCATTTTTTAAAAAGCTTATTTGTTTTTACTTACTATTGGGTTGTAGGAGTTCTTTTATATTTTGGATATTAACTCATTATCAGGTACTATTTACAAATATTTTCTCCCACTCAATAGGTTCCCTTTTCACTCTGTTGATTGTTTTCTTTGCTATGCAGAAGCTTTTTATTTTGGTGTAGTCTCATTTGTCTAATTTTGGTTTTATTGCCCATGCTTTTGGTGTCATATCAAAAAAAATCATGTTCTAAACCAATATCACAATTTTTTTCTATTTCTCTCCAAAACCTTTATAGTTTCATGTCTTATATTTAAGTCTTTAATCTATTTTGAGCTTATTTTTTGTGTATGGCAAAACACAAAGCACCAATATAGTTATTTTGCATGTGGATATTTAAATTTCTCAATGTCACTTGTTGAAGAGACTATGCTTTTCTCATTGTTTATTCCTGGAACTCACTGAAGATCAATCGACACTATAAGTGTAAGTTTGTTTTTGGGCTTTTTATTGTTTCCCTTGGTCTATGTGTCTGGTGTTCTTTATTTTGCCAGTAATATACTGTTTTAACTACTATAGTTTTATAATATGTTTTGAAATCAGAGTGAGGCCTCCAGCTTTGTACTTTTTTCTCAATATTGCTTTGTTTATCTAGGGTCTTTTGTGATTCCATGTGAATTTCAGGATTGCTTATTTCTATTTCTGTAAAAATGTCACTGAGATTTTGATGTGAATAGCACTGAATCTATAAATGACTTTGATTAGTAAGGACATTTTAACATTAAGTCTTCCAAGCCATGAACACTGGATGACTTTCCATTTATTTGTATCTTCTTTAATATCTTTCATCAATTTCTTTTAGGTTTCAGTGTGCAAAAGACTCATACAATCAATCAATTTAATATAGAGACATGTCTTTCTTCCAAATAATGTGTCAGCTATTGTTAATAAAAATAAAAATTGTGAGAATACTCTTTAAATATAAGTGAAAGATCAATATATAGAATACTAATAGGAAATCTCTAATTGCTGTGTTTATCTTTTTAAACAGGCGAGGAATTCTAGTTTAAAGAGTAATTTTTAGTTTCTTTTGTAACATTCAAGGGTAATTATTACTAAATAATAGAATTTACATAATTTCAATGTGGTATAGCCAGTGCCTGCCTTATACACAAAAAACAAGAACAAAAAGCATCACATAACCTGTAAATATTTAGGTTTAAAATATTAAACCCAAACAAAAAAAGTTGCTTGAGTTTCCATGTGCTATTTATATTAATATGGACTTTATTGATAAAGACCAAAATATTACACTAATGATTCATTATTCCCTGGTTTCATGTGTAAAAGCACAGGCTATGAAAACTAATTGTATGTGCACACATGCATTTTCTAGAAAAAAAAATGTAACCATCTGGAGTAACTTTAGCAGCAGAAGCCAATATTCGTGCTGTTATTTTCATTATAGGCCTTTCAATGAAACTCTCTCCATAAAAGCAGGCAGTCAAGAAAAGAAACTAGTGGCCATTCAAGGACATGGCTCAAAGACTATTCTATTGGTGTGTGTGTGTAGCTTTTCTTAAAGCTGTGATAATTTTTTCAAAACGTGGTTTGTCCAAGAGCAACATCTATTCAGACCATAAAATGGAGAGAAAAAAACTCCATGGTTCATTTAAACCACCTTCTTACTGTCAGAGAATTTTTAGCTGAAGAAAGGCATTGCCTTTATTGCCAGCTTATGTTGAATGAATAATTCAGAATGAAAGCAGTTGCAGCATAATGATAAAATTATATAAATCAAAGAGTAGCTGCTCAAGCCAAATATCTGCAGGAAAAAAAATAACAGTCCCTGCTCTTCTGTTTACTTAGATGGTTATTTTGTTTGTGCAGATGTTCCAAAAACTATCATTACATGAATTTCTTTGTGATATTTATAACCTACTTGAAATACTTGCTCTGAGAAATTTTACTTCTCTATTCAACATATCCTTAAGCCTGATTCCTTTCTTGTTGTCCAGAAGAATCTATACATTAAATGACAGGCAAAGTTCAAGGCAATTGCCCACTTGAGACCAGAGTGGAGAGTGAGAAGAAAGAAGGAAATTGCTAATTACCAGATGCCTATTTTGTCCTAGGCACTGTACCAGGTGTTTTACCATTTTATTTTCTTTTACTTCTCATGATAGCTTTCTGAATTATAATAATTATTCTTGCTTTCAGACAAAATTACCATAATATCATGATTTATTGTTTAATGTTACACAACACAACTATATAGTATTGGAATTACATTTGAGTGGCCTGTTTCACCCAAACCTCCGGTTCTTTTGAATATATAAGAAAGCAATCCAAGCATTTGAAGTCATCATTAAAGCAAAAATGGCTTTAAAATAAAATGTTTTATAAAACCAGAAATTTAAAAGTTCTCAGTCCCAGATAAAAACAGGATGGCCAGTACCTGGATGATGTAAGTAAACGTTATTCCAAAAGTCTTAATTTTGGGAGGTACCTTTCAACAACATGATGTTTTCCCTTGCTAAGGCAGAGTCATATTTTAATACAAGGATTTCTAGAGCTATTTGCAAGGAAATCTTAGCCTGGAGCTCACTGCTTGGAAATGGCCTCTCCTCTGATTAGATTCATGCTAAAATTCAACACATGTTAAATCGACTTAAGAATTAAAAGTCATATCTGCACGATTGCCTGAATAGCTTATTGATTCAAAATTTTTTTTTAATAGTGAGTTCAGCAAAATGAGAAGGACGACAAAAACCAGTCATTTCAGCCAAAATGGTTTATTTCCTGGCTGCATGCAGTCACAAATAGATGAGAAGGCTATCTCCATCAACATAAGGCTGGCACGTTGTCACCGGCTATGTGCATTACCTATTTCCTTGCTGAGGAAGAAATCAATGCTGCCACTTTTGGCCCAGCATTGCTTGAAATATTCATAGAAATGTATTCTAGAGGAAGCCTAATTTGATGTATACATTTTTATATTCTAATTCCTTATATAAAAATTCTTACAGTATTTCTAGATAAAATAATACTTAGTAATAAAAATATAAGTTTATTATATTAAAACTATTGGTTTTAAAAGTATGCCAATTCCTATCCTGTGGTTTTCTTTTTATTATTCTGTAATAAGGCAAATTACTACATAAAATTATCAAAACATTCAAGTATGGGGGAGCATTAGATTTTAATAGGGTCAATAGTCTACATTAATGTATTAAACAATAAATTCTCTTGGAAGTATTTCTTTTATATATTCATTCAACTTTGGCTATTCTAAGTAAGGTGTATTTCTACCTTCATAGCAAACAGACCCTGTGACTGACCATTAAAATCTTTCAATTCTTCTCCTAATACTTTAATTTTTTGGACCTACAGTTATTATTTAAAAGTTCTATAACCTCATTTACATGCAAATATACACTTGGTTTGCTACGAGTTAAAATAAAAATACTTATTGGGGCTGGGAAATTATTTTTTCATAATAAACAAAATACTGACATGAGACATTTTTATTGATCCTGTATGTAGACTGTTGTTATACAGAGTAATATTTTAACATATAAAGAATAGTTATTCAGTACATTAGGCATCTGGGTTTCAAAGAGAAAGCTAGAAAATAAGGGAATATTAAATTGTTATTTCCTATGTGATCTGGGTGTAGCTAAAATAGAACCAGTCATAATCATTACTACTCCTTCAAAAAACCTCAACCAGTTATTGACTAGATAACTAATATTAAGTAGAAGATGGAAATAGTTTTCTGGAAAATAATACTTTTTTTGAAGAAATTTAGGGTATTAGTTTTCAGAGAGTGAACAATAAATAAAATGAACAATAAAATAACCTATTAGTGCAATTTAAATTTTAAAATGAGTGAACAATAAATAACCTACTAGTCTAATTTAAATTTTCAAATTTTCAACATCGATATTAGTTATCCCTTTATTTGAAGTGTATTTCATATCATATGAAATGTGGTGCATCAAAATAAAAGATAAAGAGGACCATTATATAATTGATTACTTTATACCTTTTTTTTCTTTTGGAAATTCATAGAAAATGAGGATTTGATACTCTAGAATTGAGACGCAGTTGCCATGACAACCATGAGGCACAATACTGCATACCACTGTTGAAATGGCATTTGAATATCAGAAAGAATCTACTTCATTTTGTATTATTATTTTTCTTGGATTAAATGATAATAATACAATCTTGTATTTTGTTTTTAAGTAGGTGCATTTGTTATAATTTTAGCAAGGGAGGTTGATTTAAGAAAAAAATATGTAACAAGTGAATCATTTATAAGAGATTCCATGATTTTTCTAATATTTATTATTTACATAAAGATGTCACAGTAAAAGATATTTGCCTCATATAAAAGATGGCTTAAATTAAATATTTTAATTAGTATAATATTCAGTAATTTAAATTGTTTCATGACATTTACCCTAATGTAAATTACTTTCAATGCACATGTATCAGCCTGACCCTCCTTAAATCTTTATGGTAACATTTCCAACTCTACTATGTTGTCTCTATTACTGTGTCCTCATAAGCAACCTATTTCCAAACTGAACATATTACCTCTGCCTAAATCTCCCTCCTTGCATAGTCCCTGAATTCTGCTACTGGCAACACTGTGTTACCAATTGCCCAGCCTCAAGCATTAGTCACCTTTGACTTTTTCTTCTCCTTGTCATCATTTAATAAATGATAAACTAATCCTACTTAGTCTATCAGTAGAATATTCTGGTGATCTTTTAATGTAAACATTAGTGCAATATTCATTTAGTATTGTCAGAAGAAATATTAATTTTCTATTAGTAAATTTTTACCTATTTGTACATGAAATACAAGCATTTCCTGGAGTCAAAGATATTATCATGATGTAGGAATGAAGACACGGAGGAGTGTAAGAAGCCAGAAGGGCAAAACTGGAAGAATATCCATGTTGCAGTGCTTGGTATTATTCTGTAATTGTGAGCAAAACAAGATACGTTGTTTGGAAAGGAAATGATTTTTAAAAGTTATGTGGAGAATAGTTCTTATAGAAGAACAGGGAATGCTTTAAGAGGGAAAGATTAGTGGCAAAAAAAAAAAATAAACACACACACATACATAAATATCCTACCATAGTTCAAGAAATAGACAATGCAGATGTGGACTAGGATATTGTCAGTGAGATTTTAATAGATTCGATGAATTGAAAACTTGTCTTGGTGTTTTAAAGCAAGGAGATATATTGACTGGTTAAAAAAGTGGAAAACGTATGGTGTTTTTTAAGTATTTGGAAGAATAGTTAGGATTTCGATAGATAAATGGGAAAAATGGAAAGAGTCCTTGAAACAAAAAGAAAAAAACATAAAAGAATTGTATGAACAGTGTGGTGCTTGTTTATCAAAAATAATATTATTTTTAAAGTTGAGAACCCTAGAAAGATAAGGAAGCAAAAAGTAAAATTATGGTTAGTCTCTTTATAAAAATGCCAGATCATAAGGATACTTTTCATAAAAAATATTTGCTATTAGACTTCTTTAAGATTCTGAATTATTTTCATACTAAGCAATTCAGTTAAATGAATAAACAATATAATTTCAGCAGGCAATTTTGACAAATGAGTTAATCTATAATTTTAGTAGCTATATGCACACAAAATGAGGATTGTGCAATAGAAGTGTGTATTTTATTGGATTACTTCAGAATCAACGTGGGATGTTGAATATATATGTTTATATCTGCGCACACTTCAAATTCCATTACATCAGTTAAAAATATACATATAAATACACAAACGGAAATAGAACTAGAAAGGCAACCAAGATAGACAAGATTTCAACATTTTTTACAAGGTGAAGATGAAAAAGGAAAGGGAACAGAGAAAGCTGAAAAACTGACTGCAGTGAGAGAAGACAGTGAGAGGCAAAACTGTTCATAAAGCACAACTATAGAAAGGCTCAGGAACTGAAGTCACTGGCTGAAGGGGAAGGTGGAGGTGAAGCTTGATACTGAAAGATGGATTGGTCAAATGTCTACAGTAAGGGTATTGAAACCATAAGGTCATATTCTCTATTGCATTTCTCTAGGTAATAACTCTTCCTCTACCTTACAAAAGGGAAACTGGATTAGAAAGCCTCTAGCATTGGGCCCACTAAGCACAGTGGAAACCATGAAGGACCTACTTCCAGAAAGCATAGGGTTCAGTGAGAAATCTTCCTACTGTGATAACAGCAACACCCAACCATCAAGTGTGTCTGGTATGTAAACATACCACATAGAAAGGAGATGGATGATTCTACTCAGGAGAAGAAATATCACCTTGGCGAAATAATCTTTTTTTTTCCACGTTTTGTAGTCTTCCGATGAAATGCCAATTTCTCTGCCATCACATGAAACAACTTTCCCTAAGACTAGAACTTCTATCATTTTATCATTTCTAGAGGGATAACAGATGGAACAATAGTTAATACTTAAATTTCATATTTATAGAACACCATAAATTCAAACTTCTAGCTTGCACCCAGAACCAATTATTTGTGAACTGTGAACTAGACTATTGAACCCAAAGCTTTTTTTCCCAGGGTTAAATATTTTGAGAAAATTCTTTAAAAGTTAATCTAGGACATGCTGGAAAGATCCTAGATAATCCTAGACTGTCCTTTTGCTTTCAAATAAACCAATAAGGTGAATATTATCCAGAATTAAACATCTATCACCTTTCAAGACCTCTCCTGAAATTTCATCTAGGTCACGTTAAAATGACTACATTGTTTGTTCTTTCTACACCTGAAAACTAAAGAACTAACCATCTTTAGTTGAGTAGATTATTTCATATTATATCTAGCATCTCTATTCATGCACAGTCTCATAGAATAAGAATAAGCTAGTATTTCCATTAAAGCAAAATATATTTTCATGATATATTTTTGTATTGCCTGACAAGGCTAAATAGAATACTTAATGTAGAGTTCTTCAATGATATAGGCCTAGACATATACCCATTTTCAAGTAAAATACTCTACACAAATAAACACCGTCATGTTTACAAGCAACCAAATATATAAGAGTTGCTATTCTTTGATCTCTTATTATGAACCTAGTGCTACTGAATTAATGCTCCTGTGAGGTCAGTACTATTGTTATATCCATTTTATGGACAGGAAAAGGCAGAGACATGTTAAGGTAATTTCCCAGGTTGTATCATTAGTAATTGTCAGAGCCAGGATTCCCACCTAAGTGGTCTCGCTCCAAAAGCACTATGCTATACTGCCTCTAATAATCACAATGTAAATTATAATCATAAATTTATCCTATCTTCAGACACATAATTTGCTTACAAAATTTGAGTTTGAAAAGATCCTCTCCACTGATGAGCTTTCCTGATCTCTGCTTACCCAAAGCTGTGGAGGCAGGCTGCTGTGTTCTTCATCCACTCTCCTTTGTTTCTCAGCACAATTGCTCATTGTTCACCATTAAAGTCAACTCTAGGCTCTATGCTTATTTCTACTTCACACAGCTGATGGCTTCCTACTGCTTTAGCTGGTGTTTCTCCAAGTCTGATTCCTAGACAACCTGAGACACTATTACCTAGGGTGCTTATTTAAAATGCAGATTCTTATCCCCAGACTAAATGTATTCTATCAGATACTTTGAGGTGTGGCATCCATTAATCTCTGTTTTGTCACAAAATCTTTAACGTGTGCGAGTTTATTTACACAAACAGCACATGCTATACTCATATTTCTGAATGCATACATAAGAAACTGTAATAGTTGTTATTCCTCTTGTAGAGCTAAACAATGAGAATAAGGCTCTAGAGACACTAGAACTTGCTAGTCTAAAGACACTAGCTTTTTTAAGCAAAACATTTTGTTTCAGAATGTTCTAAGTTTTTAACAAGCACCTAGATAATTCTTAAGCTCATGATTTTTGAAAACCAGTGTGTTATTCCAATATCCCACTAATGGTTTAGGATAATAAATATTACCTATTAATTTCCATAAGCTTCATAGTTACATCCAAACTAAATTCCTTTGTGATGCTGTTACAATTCCCTTTCTTCCTCATTTGAACTTGTTCTCTCCAACTGCAGTGCTATATCACCAAATTTCCATGTGGCTTATTACCTCCCTCAGTTCAGATCTGCTCATCAAAAGTCACCTCAGCAGAGAACTTCCTAGACCAATTTACAAAATAACTCCTCAAGTGTGGAGGGAAAATGTGCTGACCTAATTAAATTTTGAATAGAGTGGAATCTAAATGACTAAAAGCAAAAGGAACTATACATAAACACTGTACATTATTTGATAAAGTTCATTTTTCAAAGGAGTACATGTTAACAATTTTGAAACTACTATACATGTATACTTGAACTGAACAAACAAGTAAATGAATAGCAGATGGTGGGAATCATGTTTCTCACCGATGAAGAGAGAGATTATAGATAAGCAAGGGAAGAAGTCTAGAATGACTCACACAACATTGGATTAGAGTTGGAGTCATCGAATTAAATATAAACATATGTTTAGCATAATATACATACAGGTGGACATATATAGTGAAAGTTATAGATATATGTGTATAGTAGCCTGTGCATACACCCATGTATTAGGTTAGTATACACACATAGATTTCCAAACTCTCTCGGCCGGAAGAGTCTAGACACTGTGACACTGCAGTAGCAGCAAACTCACCCAGTGCTCAGATCTTGGTTTGCATTATCTTTACCTTCCCCAATAAAAGGTATCAGGGATCCTTAGAGAACTGACTAATTCAAGGGCTGGGACATGGAATATACAAGATGAGCCTGGAGCATCTTTGCAATGCCAGAAAGTAAGGAAGTGATTTTTAAAAATGATGAGGACATATCAAAGAGACACAGGAGAAAAGCAAATGATTTCCCAGTGGTCAAATCTGGAGTGGTTTGTAGAAGAAAATGAGTATTGGATTATAATCCAAAGTATAAAATAAATATCCATGACTCCATCCTGATATCAATGGATGACTGAATATATTTTTTAAGTGAAGGGGACTAATCAGATCTCCTGTGCGGGAGAATTCCAAATAGTTGATGTAGATACTGCTTCCTTAGGGAGGTAGAGTGCAACTTACAAGTGCTTGAGTATGAGCTGCATATAATGACTTTCTTCCAAAGAGCACAGTATGGAAAGAGAGAAGAACATTGTTTACAAAGGAAAAACCTGACAAAGAGTACTTTAGCCAGGTAAAAGACTTTCATCAACATGTTGATAGAATACAGTCAACTTTCATAAGGCATGTTGATAGAATATAGCCTTGATGTGATGTGATGACAATGGCATTTTACATTTGTGATCGTCCCAAAAACCCATATCCTTAGTTTCTGAGTAAAACACAAGGCAAACCCAAATTGAGGGATATTCTACAAAACACCTGACCAGTACTGATCACCACTATCAAGGTTATTAAAAAAGAGGAAAACCTGAAAAACTGTCACAATTTAGAGGAGGTTAAGAGATATAATAACTAAATGTTAACATGGTATCCTAGCTGGTGACCTAGAACAGAAAAAGGACATTAGGTAAAAACAAGGAAATCCTAACAAAGTTTGAACTTTAATATATATCATCATTGTTTCATTATTTTTTACAAATGTAGCATATCAATAGAAGATATTATCAATACAGTAAACTACCTGTGAGTTAAAGAAGTATATATTTGCAAATTTTATGTAAAGTTAAAAGACTATTCTAAATTTTTAAAACAAAATAATCTCAACCACAGTATTAAATGACACATAAACTTTTTCATTATAGTAAAATATATCTAACATAAAATATACCATTTTAACTATATTTAAGTGTATAATTCACATTCACATTGTTGTGCAACTGTCACTCCTATTAATCTTCAGAACTTCTTCTTCATTCCAAGTTGTAACTCTGAACTCATTAGCAAACAACTTGCCATCCATCCTAGACCCTGGTAACTACCATTCTGCTTTCTGCGTGTATGAGTTTGAGCACTCTGGGTACCTCATACAAGTGGAATCATACAATATTTGGTCTTTTGTGCCTGGCTTATTTCATTTAGCAAAATATCTTTAAAGTTTATTCCTGTTGTAGCATGTATCTGAATTGTATTCCTTTATAAGGATAAATAATATTCCATTGTATACACCACATTCAGTCAGTGGACATTTGAGCTGTTTCCACCTTTTGGCTGCTGTGAGTACTGAACATTGGTGTAGAGATCTATTCAAGTCCCTGCTTTCAGGTCTTTTAACTATGTATCCAGAAGTGGAATTGTTGAATCACATGTAAATTCTATGTTTAATAATTTGAGAAACGTCTATACTATTTCTATAGTGGCTGCACCATTTTATATTACTACCAGCAATACAGAAGGGTTCAAATTTCTCCACATCCTCACCAACAGTTTCTGTTTTATGAGGTTTTGTGTTTGTTTGTTTTTCTTTTTGTTTTTTATAATAGCTACCCTATGTTTGTGAAGTGGTATCTCATTACGGTTTTAATTTGCATTTCCCTAGTGATTAGCCATGGTAAGCATTTTTTAAATGTACTTTTTGATTATTTGTATATCTTCTTTGAAGAAATGTTTACTCTAGTCCTTTGCCCATTTTTTAATTGGGTTGTTTTTTCTTTGGTGTTGAGTTGTGAGAGTTCTTGATGTATTCTGGATATCCCACACATACTCATTATTTTTTCTTTGTACTAATTACCTTACATAATATAGGTTATACTATATGCACATAACAAGAGCATAGAATATGTAAATGTAAGTTAATACTACTGCATAATGTAGATATTTGTAGTCTATTCTTATGGCACATATTTATAAACATTAAAAATAGGCCTAGGTGGGGTCTTCCTTTGTTTATTTTATCCTTATTTAATGCATTTTACTCCAGTAAAACTTAGAATATATTAAAAGCCAAGATGTGTCAGATAAGGTGGATATTCTGACTCAGAGTTCACTTCAATCTTCTAGTATGTGTTCTATAGAAACCAGAAAGTCAAAATTAAGTTTCCTAGATTCCCCTTTTATCTGGAGTTCCCATGTGACCACATATAAAAAATGATGAAGCAAAGGAAAATAGAGTTAGGGAGAATAGATCATGTGGTGGAAGTATTTTATTCCTCTAAAATATCTGTGTTAAATTCTACTAGTTGATTTCCTAGATATTAGATTAATAAGTTTGAGGCAATGTATATCAACAACAGTGGAGTTTTGTCTCTGTATAGTATCCAAGATTGGTTTTTTTTCCCCAATACTGTACAAATTTAAATTATCTGATAGATCTCCTTTAAAGTGTCCTTTATGATTAGTTACTAAAATCCTGACCTATAAAGATAGGTTCCTAAAAATCTATTTTCTTTCTACTTTATACATTATAATTCATAATTCTTAAAATGTAATTACCTTCAATTACTCCTTCAATAAACTATATACTCTCCCTTACTCACAAGTGTGCCTCTAATTCTTTGCACAATTTTGGTACAAACAAATTTCTCATTTAGTGGCACAAATAAATGAGCGAGTAAATGGATAAATGATAAATGAATAAGTGACTAGTCATACTATAAAAGCAGCTAAAGATAATGTAATTTTAGATAAATAAGTTCTATGAGAGGAAATTGCTTAATCTTTCTCAGTTTTATTTATTTATAAAGTAGGTATAATGATATTTACCTCATAGGTTTACTGTAAGAATTAAATAAAATAATGTCTTTAAATTATTCATCAGCATGTCTGTCATATACAGCACAATGTAAATGTCACATATTACTATGATCTGCAGCCTTCAAGAGATTAGAATTTTTGGTGGGTCTTAACAGGTTACAGAAGCACAGAACAAGGTTATATTAACTAAATATACAAATTATAGAAATTACGACTTTTGTTACTATTGTAACTCCTTTGCTATTTTTATATTAAAATGTCCAATCAAATTTAGAAGATTACAAATCACATACACATATATGTAATGTCACTTTTTATGCAAATGATACCACATTTAAGACAAAACTTAAAATATTTATAAATTATTGTAAGACTGTAATAAAAATTAGTTTAATAATTCACATTATACTCATTTCTCATGAATAAGGATTATCAATGTAGTTTAATTCTTAAGCCATTTTTAAATTTACCATTGTAATTCTGTAGCAATAAATAGTATGCCATGAACATAACCTTTCTAAATTTGGATTTCAAAATTCTAACCAGAATAAAATCAGAAACAAAAGAGGAGATATGACACCTAATATCACAGAAAAGTAAAGGATCATAAGATACTAATATGAATAATATTATGCCAACAAATTTGGTAACCTAGAAGAAATGTATAAATCCCTAGAAACATAAAACCTAAATAGACCGAATCAAGAAGAAACAGCAGGTCTGAACAGACAAATAACAAGGCAAGAGACTGAATCAATAACAAAAAAAGATCGCCTATCAACGTAAAGCCGAAGACAAGATGGCTTTGTAACAAAATTTTATTAAACATTTAAAAAGAGCTAATATTAATCTTCTCAGACTCTTCCCAGAAGTTGAAGAAGGAATTCTTTTAAATGCATTTTACAAGACAAGCATTATCCTGATAAAAAGCTACTCAAGGACACTACAAGAAAAAAAAAATTACAAGTCAATATCCTCAGTGAACTTGGACGTAAAATTCCTTAACAAAATATTAGCAAACCAAATTTAACAGCACAATAAAACAATGATTCACCATGATTAAGTGGGATTTATTCCTGGGATGCAAGACTGTTTCAACATACACAAATTAATAAATGTGTTATACTGCATTAACATAAAAGATGAAAGCCATATCATTATTTCAATAAGTGCAAAAAAAGCATTTGACATAATTCAACATCCTTTCATAACAAAAAAAATACTCTCAACAAATTAAGTATAAAAGAAACGTACTCTAACACAATAAAGTCCTTAAAGTTCATTTATGAAAAGGCCACAGCTAATTTTATACTCAATAAGGAAAAGTCAAAAGCTTTTCCTCCAAAATCAGAGACAAGGACAACTTGACTAGAAGTAGAAAGACCACTTCTAGTCAACATAATAATGAAAGTTCTAGCCAGAGCAAGTAGACAAGAGAAACAAAATACATCCAAATAAAAAAAAAGAGATAAATGAAATTTCTGTTTGTTTATGACATGATCTTAAATATAGAAAATCTTAGACTTCACCAAAAAACTGTTAGAACAGATACAGGAATTCAGCTTAATTGCAGGTTACAAAATCAACAAGCAAAAATCAGTAGTATGTGTTCACACTGACTATAAACTCTTAGTAAAGGAAATTAAGCAATCAATCCCATTAACAATGGTATAAGACAATAAAATACGTCGCAGTAAATTTAACCCACTAGATGAAATATCTGTATATTGAAAACTATAAAACATTGATTAAAAAATTATATAAGACACAAATGAATGGAAAGTTACCTCATGTTCATGGATTGAAAGAATTAATATTATTAAAAACTCCATACTACCCAAAGTGATTTACAGATCCAATGCAATCCTATCAAAACTCTTAGATCATTTTTTCAAGCAAATAGGAAAATACTAAAATTTATATGAAACCACAAAAATAGCCAAAGCAATTTTGTGCAAAAATGAGAAAAGTGGAAGCATAACACTACTTGACTTCAAAATCTGTTCCAAAGACAATCAAAATAGCATGGCTTTGTTTTGAAACTGGCATAAAAACAGACACATAGAACAAAGGGATGAAATAGAGAGTCTAGAAATTAATATACACAGTTATGGTCAGTTGATATTCAACAAAGAAGCCAAGAATACATAATAGGGAAAAAAATAGTCTATTTAATAAATTGTGCTAAAAATTTTGGATAACCACATGCAAAAGAATGAAATTAGAACCTTAACACCACATATAAAAAATTAATTCAAAATGTAATAAAGTCTTAAACATAAGACCTGAAACTATAAAGCTATTAGAAAAACACATAGAAAAAAATGCTCAACATTGATAAAGATTTATTGAATATGACCCCAAAAACACAGGCAACAAAAGCAAATATAAGCAAATGGAATTACATCAAACTAAAAAGTTTCTATACAGCAAACGAAACAATCAATAGAGGAATGGACCAGCCCATATATTGGTAGAAAATTTGCAAGCCATAATTCTGATAAAGATTTTATAACCAAAACATATAAGAAACTTGAACAACTGAATAGCAAGAAAACAATCCATCAGAAAATGTGCAGAGGACTTAAACAGGCACTTCTCAAAAGAAGACATACAAATGTCCACTAAGTATTAGGGAAATGCAAATGAAAACCACAATGAGTTGTCACCTCACACATGTTTGAGTGGCTACTAACAAAAAGACAAAAGATAGCAAGTATTGCTTAGAGTGTGCAGAAAAAAGAATCCTAGTGCACTGTCGGTGGAAAAATAAATTTAATACAGCCATTTCCGAATAGTATAAAGGTTTCTCATAAAAATAATAATAGAGTTATGATATAATCCAGCAATCCCATATGTGGGTATATATACAAATAATTGAATTCAGCATGCCAAAGAGACACCTGCATTCCCACATTCATTGCAGCATTATTCACAATTGCTAAAATATGGAAAACTAGGTACCCACCATCAAAATAATGAATAAAAAGCATGTTGTATATATAAGCATTCCTCATTTATTGCACTTCGCTTTATTTTGCTTCACAGATTTTTATTTTTTAAATGGAATGTTTGTGTCACGCCTACAGTGAGCAAGTCTAAGTGCCATTTTTCAAAAGCATGTGCTCATTTTGTGTCTCTATGTCATATGCTGATAATTCTCACAACATTTCAAAGTTTATCATTATTATTATATCTGTTATGGTGATCAGTGATCGTTGATGTTACATTGTAATTGTTTAGGGGATGCCATGAACTGCACCCATATAAGATGGCAAATTTATCAATAAATGCTGCTTGTATTCTGACTGCTCCTTCAACTGGCTGTTCTCCACCTCTCTCCCTCTCTTCTGGCCTCTCTATTCCCTGAGACACAACAATATTGAAATTGGGCCAATTAATAACCCTAAAATGGCTTCTAAGTGTCCAAGGGAAAGGAGGGGTTTAAGATTTCAGTGGAGGAAGTAACTGAAGATGTTGTGGAAATAGCAAGAGAACTAGAATTGAAATGGAGCCTGAAAATGTGACTGAATTGCTGCAATCTCATGATAAAACTAATGAATGAGGAGTCGCTTTTTATGAATGAGCAAAGAAGGTGGTTTCCTGAGACAGAATCTACTCCTGGTGAAGATGCTGTGAACGCTGTTAAAATGACAACAAAGGATTTGGAATATTATGTAATCTTAGTTGATAAAGCAGCAGCAGGGTTTGAGAGCATTGATTTCTATTTTGAAAGAAGGTCTACTGTGAGTAAAATAGTATCAAATATCATTATCTGCTACAGATAAATCTTTCATGAAAGGAAGAGTCAATCAATGTGGCAAATTTTATTGCATTCTTATTTTAAGAAATTGCCACAGCTACCCCAACGTTCAGTAACCACCACTTTCATCAGTCAGCAGCCATCAACCTTGCGGCAAGATACTCTACAAGAAAAAACTTATGACTGAGGGCTCAGATGACTGTTAACATTTTAGCAATAAAGTACTTTCTAAGTAAAGTATATACTTTTTAGACGTAATGCTATTGCACTTAACTACAGTATAGTGTAAACATAACTTTTGTATGCACAGGGAAACCAGAAAAAATTTATGTGGCTTGCCTTATTGCAATATTACTTTATTATGGCTGTTTGTAACCAAACTACAATATATCTAAGGTATGTTTGTGTAAATAATGAAATATTATTCATCCGTAAAAAGGAGAAAATATCGTCATTTGCAACAACGTGGATGAACCTGGAGGATGTTGTGCAAAATGAGATAAGCCAGGCACAGAAAGACAAATACCACATGATCTCACTTATATGTGGAATCTTTAAAAGTTGTACTCATAGAAGCAGAGAGTAGAATGGGGATTGCCAGGGGATAGGGGAGGGTGGTCAGTGGGGAAAAGGTACATGTTGATCAAAGGGTACAAAGTTTCAATTAGATAGAAGAAAGACGTTTTAGTGATCTATCCTACAGAATGGTGATTATAATAAATAATAGTGTATTATCTATTTTAAAATTGTTAGAAGAATAGATTTTTAAAAATTGGCATCATAAAAAATAATTATGTGAGGTGAAGGACTTAGTCTTATTTAATCATTACACATTGTAAGGAAACATCAAAACATCACATAATGCCCCACGAACATACACAATTATTATTTGTCAATAAAAAGTAAAATTAAAGAAATTAAAGAAAATATTCTAATCAGACAAGCATATAATTTATATTTTGGTTTATGTAATACACATCAGCACAAATATGACTTTTTCTGTTTTACCCAATGAAATACACATTATTTCCTGAAAAATCTGAAAAACTATGTTGGTTTTGACCCATTATAATTAAATGAAATAACTATTTCTCAGTTTTAAAACTCCATTGTGATTATCTCTTTTTAATATAACCTCTTCTGACATCACCTTGTAAATTGAACACAATACTTATTGTTGTGAAAATGGCATCCCAAAAAGATTTATTCTTTTTCCCTTACCCATTATACAGTAGACCCTTGAACGAAACAGGTTTGAACTGGGCCGGTAGGCTTATACACAGAGTTTATTCAGCCTTTACCACCCCTGAGACATCAAGATGAATTCCTTTTTCTCCTCCTCCTCAGCCTACTGAAAGTAAAGACAAGAATGAAGATTTTTATGACGATCCACCTCCACCTAATGGGAAATACATTTTCTTTTCTCTTCCTAATGATTTTCTCAATAACATTTTCTTTCGCTTATTTTATTGTAAGGATACAGTATTTAATACATATAAGGTACAAAATATGTGTTAATCAACTGTTTATGTTATCAGTAAGGCTTCCAGTCAACAGTAAGCTATTAAGTTGTAGGGGAATCATAAGGTATACGGATTTGCTTTTTTTTGTCCTCCAGGCTGGAGTGCAGTGGTGCAATCTCAGATCACTGCAACCTCTGCCTCCTGAGTTCAAGCAATTCTCCTACGTCAGCCTCCCAAGTAGCTGGGATTACAGGCATGCGCTGCCACGCCTGGCTAATTATTTGTCTTTTTAGTAGAGACAGGATTTCACCATGTTGGCCAGGCTGGTCTCAAACTCCTGTCCTCAAGTGATCCACCCACCTCAGCCTCCCAAAGTACTGGGATTATAGGCGTGACCACCGTGCCCGGCCGTGTACATGGCTTTTCAACTCCACAAGGCATCGGTACCCCTAACTCTTCCACTGTTCAAGGGTTGACTGTATATGCACTCACTTACTTAAAAGCTCACTCTGAATAAAAAATGTTGTAAGCGAATTAAAATATTTCTCCATTCTTAAGTGCAGTATCAGTAGTAGCAGTGAGAGGTGAAGCCAGCTGGCCTTCCGGGGTCAAATGGGGACTTGGAGAACTTTTCTGTCTAGCTAGAGGATTGTAAATACACCAATCAGCACTCTGTAAAAACGCACCAATCAGCACTCTGTGTCTAGCTAAAGGACTGTAAATGCACCAATCATCACTCTGTAAAAACAAACCAATCAGCGCTCTGTGTCTAGCTCAAGGATTGTAAACGCACCAATCAGCACTCTGTAAAATGGACCAATCGGCACTCTGTAAAATAGACCAATCAGCTCTCTGTAAAATGGACCAATCAGCAGGATGTGGGCAGGGCCAAATAAGGGAATAAAAGCTGGCCACTGGAGCCAGCAACAGCAACCCACTTGGGTGCCATTCCACAGTGTGGAAGCTTTATTCTTTCGCTCTTCACAATAAATCTTGCTGCTGCTCACTATTTGGGTCCGCACTACCTTTATGAGCTGTAACACTCAACTGCAAGGGTCTGCGGCTTCATTCCTGAAGTCAGCAACACCACGAACCCACTGGGAGGAACAAACAACTCTGGACATGCCACCTTTTAAGAGCTTTAACACTCACTGGAAGGGTCCGCAGCTTCACTCCTGAACTCAGCAAGACGATGAACCCACCGGAAGGAACAAACTCCGGACACATCTGAACATCTAAAAGAACAAACTCCGGACACACCATCTTTAAGAACTGTAACACTCACTGTGAGGGTCCACGGCTTCATTCTTGAAGTCAGCGAGACCAAGAACCCACCGGAAGTAACCAATTCGAGACACAGTGATAATAATAGTAATGTCTAATACACAAAGAGTACCACTAAATTCCAGAAATAGCCTACCTTCATTAGTTTTACTCAATATTATGACAATTCATGAAAATCTATTATTATCTTCAGTTTACAGAAAGAAAAACTGAGACTTAGAATAATTAAATGAATGGGCCCAGATCTCACAGCATATTAAACTCTTGTCCAACCTCAGAAAAGATGTGCAATAAGATTTATTGTTTGTCAAAGTGTTCATTTTTTGTTTGGAAATCTGGAGCAGTTTGTGGATCAGGAAATAGCAATGTCATTTTTACATATTAAAATATACTATTTTTTAATGTATGAGATAGGCCAAGATTCAAAATTTACATGCACTTTTTTGGAAAGGGGAAACAGGCATTGTCTTGCATTGTCAATGGTGTGGTAAATTATTGAGGTGCTATAGGTGGCAATATGGCAATCTGACACAGCTATATCACTTTTTAACTCCATATTTCATTGATTCTAAGATACTCATAACCATACTACATTATATTGACTATGAGACATATTTTAACATCTTTAAAATTGGATATTTTTTTTCTTTTTTTTTTTTTTTTTTTTGAGATGGAGTCTCACTCTGTTGCTCAGGCTGGAGTGCAGTGGCACGATCTCAGCTCACTGTAAGTTTTGCCTCCTGGGTTCACACCATTCTCCTGCCTTAGCCTCCCGAGTACCTGGGACTACAGATGCCCGCCACCAAGCCTGGCTAATTTTTTGTATTTTTAATAGAGACGGGGGTTTCACTGTGTTAGCCAGGATGGTCTCGACCTCCTCAGCTCGTGATCCACCCGCCTAGGCCTCCCAAAGTGCTGGGATTACAGGCGTGAGCCACAGTGCTCAGCCAAAATTGGATATATTAAATAATTGATGGTATATACTATTTATCTTATGCTGTTTTCTCTTTCTTAATGATACCAAAATAATGCCATATTTTACAATCAAAGGAAAGATTTGGCAAAATGTGGTAAAAAATCTATACATATATTTATACAGATACACACAAATACAAGTAGTGTCAACATGGGTATAAGAACTAATGTTAGAAACTATAAAATTAAAAATAAACTGTAATATGCCCATCAATGGAGTGCTTTGCAATCTGAAAAAATAAGCCAGGACTACATTAATTTTTTAAGATTACTTTACATTATAATATGTGAGAAAATATGTCAAAGAACACTCTATTTATGTAAAGATCTTGGTTTACATATGGTTTTTATCATGGTTGCATCCAGGAGGGAAAGGAGCACAAGCTGATTTTTCATTGTATGCCACTTATAACACTGAATTTTTCTCCAATTGCAAATTTTACCTTTTCAATAATCAAATACATATTTTAAAATATAATTTCAAAATACTTTCTCTATACCAACTTATGTTAGAACAATTCCTTTTAATTTTGAGATTAATTACTACTATATGCCTTCTGAAGAAGTAGTTCTAATTTTTAAGTTTGAGAATATAACCATTATTTTTTCTTCTTTACACTCTTTTCTAAAGTAACAATAAATTAACTGTATATTCTGTATCAGATATGTTCTATAATTATTTGAAATGTTAGTATTTATGAAATTGAATTTTTTCTTCAGTTAGTCAAAGTACGATTACATTGGTTAGTATGATTTTATTTAGAACAAAATATTTGTTGTTAAATTATTTCTTTTATGGCTATATTTTATTTTGGAAATATACTTATGTTTCCGTTTCAATACTAGCAAATGTGGTATCACTTTATCTTTAAATTATCTAAGATAAATTGTACATCCTCTTGACTTTTACTGACCTCTATCAGATTTTTGAGTAATACTTCATCTTTTTCTCTAGTTTAAAAATTCACTTATAATTTTTCACTTGGTAATTGTACAGTGGTTTTCAAGGGATATATATATATATATATATATATATATGTCCCTTTATATATATATATATCCCTTTATATATATATCCCTTTATATATATATATCCCTTTATATATATATCCATATATATATATCTCTATATATATATACCCATATATATATAAAGGGATATATATATATCCCTATATATATATCCCTATATATATATATATATATCCCTATATATATCTCCCTTTATATATATATAAAGAAAACTCTGCTGTGGGATCTGGAAATAACTTCTGTTCTATCAGAAAGTGAAACATATAGAATTAAATGATCAGCGATAGCTTTGGGGCCAAGAGCCTAAAGAGTTAAACGTGCAAATGATGTTAACCCTAAATAGGCAACAGGAAGGTTCTAAGCCCAGAAACCAAAGAACCATTTTTTTTTACCAACTACAAAAGAATGGATCTTGCCTCAGCTATACCTTGTCTTCTATATTTGTTGTTTGTGTAGCAGGAACTAAAAAGCCCTTTGGATACATCCTGGAGTTGTTTACTATCCCTTACGAAGGCAGAATCTTAGTTTAGAGACTTATCTAATCTTCTTCTTCATTGACACTTTATAGTATGAGCTCCAGTGAGCCATAAAAATGCTCAGTTCATTGTAAAAAGACCCATCTGTTTCTTTAGGAGGTTTGTTTTATCCAGAGTTTTATATGACTATTGTGACTTTCCTCATGTTCAATGCTTTCTATATTTATTTTTCCTTTCAACTCTCTTTGGAGAAACAGAATTTGGTGCCCTCCTGTATTTTTAAATTTTTACTATCGACTTCTATCAAAGAGCAGCAATAATGAAATCATGCTGAGTTTACTTGTTTGGAAAGCTAGAAGTATAATATTTAAAATCTTAAATTGGGAAATCTTGCACAAGTGACTAACCACAAACAGAAAGCTATAATCACATGTTGAAATGAAAAATGCAAAAAAAAGTCATGCACTTCTCTGCTGTATTTAAGTGTAGGTGTTCCACAGAAAACGAAGCATAAACATTATCAATGTGTTTATTCTTGTAAAGAATGAACATCTTAATGTCACCCTGAATAAATAATGTGGTTCTTGCTGAATTGATCTCTGAAGAAAGTACAAAGTATATAGCTAGAGGGGCCTCATTTACTCTGGTGAATAAACTTGTATGCTTGTGTGGGTGTCATATTTATATGCAGATGATCTAAACACCTGGAATCTTTAAAATAAACCATAAACTACTTACAAACATCTCTGCATTTTGTGTACCAGTAGATAAATATTCACTGATGAAAAGTCATTAGTAACTAATATTTTGTAATTAGTTTTTCTAATATACAAGAAAGAACACAAAACCTCAAAGTATTCAGTAGAATTATGCCACAGTTTCATGTATAAACTTTCTTTCATCCTGTTTCTTATTTATTAATTTACAAATAAATTCTGAATTTCCCGATAATATTACTGAAAATGTTGTGTGACACCGACCTCTCCTCTATCTATAATTCCTAAGTGAATATCTAAAGGAGTGTGGCTGAGAAGAAGGAACAGCATCAGTCCTCTAGGGTCTTTGGATGCAATTTGAAATAGTTCCCAGCAGGTGGTGATGGAGGTTGAATTTGCCAGGTAGTTTACTTTTGATACTAGATCTAGAGAGCTCCAGATACACAGGAATGCAAATGATAAACAATCTATATACATGTTTATAACAAGACATGTCAGATAAACCTGAGGTCTATTCCTACTCATATGAGATACTGGAGGTTTATATCCAACCTCCAATATCTCCATTTGAATTTGTGCACTTTTTCTATGTATTAATTTAGATCTGCCAATTCACGTGATCATCTGAAGACTCCTTTAGGGATAAAAGAAACTTGGATTCAACTGACATTGATGATCTATCATATAAAACATTTCTGGGTGAACATGGACTAAGAACATTTAAGCAAACCTCATTGGGGCTCTGACTATTGAAATACTTCAAACTTCAGGGAGTAAAAGAGAACCAGTGATGTGTCTACTACCAGAGTTAAATGTCATCTAGTCATGGAATCACCATTTTCCATGGCGGTGGTGTTGGTAGAGATTTGAGGAAAATATCTGTTTCCTTTTGTTTGTGTTGGTGACTCTGTAATTTGAAAATAATTCATCATTTATAGCAGTAATTTTTGGTCCTTAGACAATTTTGCTGTGGAATACCTCCTGACAGTGTGTAACTTAGAACCATGGGTGCTCAACCTCTCATATTAAAGCTAGCTCTGATATATGTTATTGAAACACCTACAATGTCTGTAGTCTTCTGTCTTGCATTTAGAAGATATTTATAGAATTCTTGGGCCAAAGTGTATGAATTTAGTACTGAGATTATTTTTAATATAGTGCCAAATTACTTTCCAGAAATAGCAGTGCAAAGTCACACCAGTGAGTACTCCTGCCAAAACACCTTTTTCAGTATTAAATAATATATCTTTTAAAGCTTTTCCAATTGTTGAGGTAAACATGGTATTGTGACTATATATTTTTTCATTAATTCTTAGTGAGATCAAAAATTTTCCCAAATGTATATTGCTCTCTCTCTCTATATATAAATTCTGTTTAGATTATCCTGTTCATTTTATGTAGCAGGCAAGTATCAGGTTGGTGCAAAAATAATTGCGGTTTTTGCCATTAAATGTAATGACAAAAACCACAATTATTTTTGCACCCAGCAAAATGTCTTGAAAGATTCCTCTCAGACAACATGCTTGGAAGAAAACAAATTAATCTGTTTAAGAAATGAACAGTGAGTCAGAATAAGGTAGAGAAAAGAAAAGAAGAGACAAGAGTGAGAAGAGAGAAAAAAAATCACAAGATAAGGAAGCTCTAGCCTAAGGGAAAATGGGGCAAGCTATAATTTTACAGATTCAGGATAGCCAACAACTGAACAACAGAGGTTTCACCTATACACAGTTTATGATGCTATAATGAATATCACCACCATGAATCAAAAGAAAATGATAATATAAACCCCTAGGAATTTGCATAACATTTGGGACAGCATGGGCTTTACCTTTAGAAGCAGGATTCTTACTTTAATCTCTAACTAATTATATTTTTATCATAAAGAGTAACCTCAATTGACCTCCAAGTCGGGACAGTAATTAAAAGCACAGGTTCTGGAGTCTCACTTCTTTGGTTCATATCCTAGATTCCACAATAACTAGGTTTGTAAACTTAATCTCTCTAAAATTCATCTCATCTGTCAAATGTAGATAATATTGGCACTTACCTCAAAGGATTCTTACAAGGATTTACTGAAATAATCCTGATAAGATCCTCAGCTCAGTGTCTGACACAAAGTAAGAGCTCATTAAATGGCAAACATTATTTTTATCTTTCTGCATGCATGTGTATATTACATAATCAGGAACAAAGACTTTGTCACAGAAAATACTTTTGTATTCTTCAATTTCCACTCAATATTCTAATATGTGTATTTAGAAAGTATGTGTATTTTCTAAGTGCTTTAACATTTTTCAAAATAATGCTTTTGATGGTATCATCTGGATATACCTTGTTTTCTTTAATATGTGGTAGTAAAAGCTAATTCCCCAATTTGCATTATATATATGCAGACATAGACATACATATTTGCTGGTATAAGTTAAATTATTATTAACTTGTATTTTTGAATAACTAATATAATCAAAATATTTTTATCATTTATTAGCATTGGCATTAACTTTTTCAATTGGCTCTTCATAATTTTGCTATTGGTAGCTGATAAAAATTTTTAACTTTACTGAAAAAAGAGCATATGTATTATGCTCTAAGTGAATAACTAACAGATATACTTTTCATATTCAATCTGTTTGCAATGTGAGGATTACTTGATATTTTGCTCCTTTCTATTTGTTTATATTCCAAAGATTTTTAAAGACAGAATTAAGTCAGTTTACAAGTATATTAGCATTGAAATTAAATATCTAGAAGGAAGTTACAACTAAATATAAAATGCATAACATATAACAAATGCCTACATATTTACTGTGGCAGTGAATTTGAGAAAAAGTTCTGATCAATTCAGAAACATTCAAAAGATATATAATAAAAAGAAAACAATTCTTCTGCATGAAAACAAATACTGAAAAATATATATCCTTTTGAAAAAAACATATGCTCAATTTTTATTTTTCCTAAAAGGTTATCTTAGCCTGTTTTTGTTTGTAAAGAGGATTACCTGGCCAGGCGTGGTGGCTCATGCCTGTAATCCCAGCACTTTGAGAGGCTAAGGTGGGCCCATCACTTGAGCCCAAGAGTTCCAGACCAGCCTGAGCAACACAGGAAAACTGTCTGTACTAAAAATACAAAAATTAGCTGGGTGTGGTAGCGCACGCCTGTAATCCCAAGTACTTGAGCTACTTGGGAGGCTGAGGCAGGAAAGAATAGCTTAAACCCAGGATGGTGGCGGGGAGCTGAGCTACAGAGTAAGACTGTCTCTAAATAAATAAGAGGAATACCTGAGAATCCGTATTCCTGGTTTATTTGGCTCACAATTTTGATGGCTGGAAAGTTCAAGGTTGGACATCTTATGGTCAACAGCCTTAGGCTGGCTAGTGAAAGGGGGGTCTGAGTACAGAGATCACATGATGTAAATGGGAGCAAAAGAGAGAAGGGAGAGGTGCCAGGCTCTTTTTAACAACTATAACTCATGGAAACAAAGAGAATGAGAACTTATGCTCCCCAAGGAGGGCATAACCTATTCATGAGGCATCTACCTTAATGAACCAAATACCTCCCATTGGGCCCCACGTTCAATATTTTGGATTAAATTTCAACGTGAAGTCTGGATGGAACAAATGTCCAAACCACAGCAAGGACTATATGCATTTGGCTGTTTTGTTTTGTTTTGCTTACTGTTTATTGTCTGTTTACTGCAATAGAATATAAGCTTCATGACAGTAGGTATCTTAGCATGTTTACCAATGTATCCTAAGATTCTACAAGATTACTTCACACAAAATTATTGCACTATATATATTTTAAATGTAAAAGTTAATGCAAACAAACAAAAAAGTAAAATAAACAAGCATATATGTAGCACTCAGCCTAAAAAATAAAAAACTCAACACAGTTGAGCTGAAGTATCCAATACGGTATACACATTCTTTATTGAATCTTCATCTTTTCCCCTGCAGAAGGAAAGACTATTTTGAATTTTTAAATTATTATTGTACAGTTACTTACATGTTTATTATAAATGACTTTCTTCCAAAGCAATTAATATGCATTACTTTCATATCTTAAAACTTTATATGATGCTTGCTTTTTGTACTTAACATTTTGTTTGTGAAATTCATCCTTATGGATAATATATTTTCACTGTTCTGCAGTGATCCATTATATGAATGTGTCACTCTTAATGGACTGAACTGCATTGCATCCTACGAAATTCATATGTTGAATACCTAATCCCCAATGTGATGTATTAGGAAATAGGGCCTCCAAAGAAGTAATCAAGATTAAATGAGATTACAAGAATGGGCCTCTAATTTAATAGGACTAGTGTCATTAAAAGAAAAGGGAGAGACACCAGGTTGGTACAAACAGAGAACAGCTCATGTGAGGTCTCAGGAGAACAAAACCTGCTGAAACCTTGATCTTGAACTTCCAACTTCCAGAACCCTGAGAAATAAATTTTTGTTATGTAAGCTGTCCAGTCTGTGGTATTTTTTATAGCAGCCTTAGCTGAGTAATACAGTCACTATGTTTTTTTAATTTTCATGTTACCAGACATTTGGATCCTCTCTGTTTCCCCGGTAAAAACAATTGTAGATGCATGTTTACTTGTTACCTTGTGTACATGTGCAAAAAATCCTCTGGGTTGAATACCAAGAGGTAGGATTATTGCAATTTAGAATTTTATTTTTCCAATCTGATGGATAGAGAATACTATCTCACTGTGCTTTTAATTTGTACTTTCCTGATTACTAGTAAGGTTAATAATTTTTCATTGGTTAGTGTTCAGTTATGATTCCTCTCATGTGGACATCCTTTTCCATATTTGGTCCATTCTCCTGTTGTATTGTCTTCCCTTATTGTCAAAATGCTCCATAGTCTGAATACTATTGGTTGACAGCACAATGCAACATTTTCTGTCTTTCTGTGTCTTGTCTTGTATGTTTTATGAAATCCTTACAGAAAAAATTTAAATTTTATGATACTTACATTTATCAATAATTTCCTTTGTTTATATTTTAATGCTTTAAGAAACCCTTTATTATACTAAGCAATGAAAAGACTAAAATTTACTGTTAAATATTATGAAATTTTGTCTTTTGCTTTGAAATTTTAATCTACCTAAAAACTGTTTAAATATTGTGTGGAGTAGAGACCCAATTTTATTTTTTTAACTAACATTTAATACACAGCAACATTTCAAGTATAGTTCATATTTTTCCACAACTATAAATTTAAAATTTTTATAAATTTCAATTCTTTCACTGCTGTCATTTAAGTTTATTGTTGTATATTTATGTTGCATCAGAATTAACTAATACAGTATTCACTTATTAATTCTCATAATTTGTCTTTGTAGTATCTTAGGTGTTTTATATGTATAGTCATATAAGTACATATATATTTGTTTTATTTATTATAAACTTTTGTCAAGATCAAATGAATTCTGCAATGATGAATAGTGATTTTAAAAACGATTAAAAAAGGTAAAATCCTTTCCCCAAGGAAATTACATTTACAATATTTTTTCTGTTTGTTAATTATACACATATTTCTCTTTACCTTATTAACCTCTCCAACATCACTTCCCTTGAAACAAGGCAGCTTGTCTTTGGGGGATTCATTTGATTCTAGAAAGCTGACTCTATTTCCAGGAATATATAACAGAAGCCAATCAGTGCATTAAATCTCTCAAGAATAGTGTTTCATGGGTAGCATGTAACCTAAATTGGTTTAATCAGAATAACTCTCAGAATTTCATGATAATTCTGGAACAAAGATACTTTCTCATCCTTGAAAACATGAATAAGGGATAATGTAAGCTTAAGAACTGGTGACTAACCGTTGTGGAGAAAGAAGGAAAGAAGCTTTGAAGAAAATTAACTTCTTGACAAGCGGAGTGGAAAACTAAATAAAAAAAAATCGTTTGGTAACATGTTTGAGTTATCCTGGATCATGTCTTATTTGATTTATGTGATGCCAACCCAACCTCAGGACTTCTAACTTACATACCCCAATACACTTTCTTATTAAAAATCATTTTGATTAGGATTTTCCATTACTGTGGTTTATTTTAATAAAAAAATAGGTATATAAAATACAGATTTAGTTTCTCATAGAAAAAAGATTATCTCTACCAGAATACAAGCTCTGAGATGAAGGAAGGCTATTATCAATAAAATAAAAAATAACACAAGAACTAGAATATAGGAAATGCATGGACATGATTTTAATAAAAAAGAATGACATAAACCTATTTATTGTGGCCGAATTGTGTGACACACACAAAAAAACACACCTTGTAAGCCTTTGGTATCAAACTTGAATTCAAATTCCATGCTCCATCTCTTACAAGTCACATGCTATGTACTATCTCTATGTGTACATCCCTCACTAGTTAAATGGATAAGTTACCCGATGAAGTTGTTTTATGCATTGTGTGTGTGTGTGTGTGTGTGTGTGTGTGTGTGTGTGTGTGTGTGTGTGTGTAGATATATAGATAAGTAGATCTTGACACGGGGACTAAAAATAGTGAATTGGCAGATTGGCTTTAGTTTTCCAACTCAAATACAAACATATCCATATACCCTTCCTGTCCACTTTTCTGGTGTTTTCTGTGGATGGCAGGTGTCCTGAGATTTTGGGTGGATAGGGAAGTAAGTTAAATCAGCCTTCTGGAGTTAAAGACAAGGCCTCCCAATTTTCTGGTTAGTATAGATACTAAGTCTGTAAATCCAAGCTCATACAGAAACTGTGTGTTTTCTACTGCTGCTGTAATATGTGGTTATCCCACACCTGGAGGCTGAAGCATGGGTATGACTGAGCTAAGCCCAAGGGTTTGGCATGGTTGTGTGTTTCGTTTTGTTTTGTTTCTGGAGACTATAGTAGAGAATCCACTTTGTTACCATTCTCAGCTCCTAGCATTTGCCCCTATTCATTTATTTATGTCATCTTTCTTTCATCTTCAAAGCCAATAACAATGGATCAAGTCCTTAAGCCACATCTCTGACCACAACTTAACAAGGTTCTCCACTTTTTTGTTTTTTTTTTGTTTTTGAGACAGAGTCTTGCTCTGTCACCCAGGATGGAGTGCAATGGCACAATCTTGGCTCACTGCAACCTCCGCCTCCCGAGTTTAAGCAATTCTCCTGCCTCAGCCTCCCAAGTAGCTGGGATTACAGGCCCATGCCACCAAGCTGGGCTAATTTTTGTATTTTTAGTAAAGACGGGGTTTCACCATATTGACCAGGCTGGTCTCCAACTCCTGACCTTAGGTCACCTGCCCCCCTCAGCCTCCCAAAGTGCTAGGATTACAGCACTGCACCTGGCCAGTTCTCCCCTTTCAAGGACCCATGTGATTAGATTGAGTGTGTCAGATATTCCAGAATAATCTCCCAATTTCATGGTCTCTAATTAATTATGCAAAATCCATTTTGCCATGTATAATGGCATATTCACAGGTTCTGGTGATTAAGACATGGTCATTTTTGGCAGCCATTTTTCTATTTACCACAGAGATAAGTATATAAATTCTATTTTATCTTTTTTTTTTCTTTTTTCTTTTCCAGAGGACACTATTTTATGAAACAAACCTAGAGTCAGAAAGGAAGTGAAGTTGGGTAGGTTTCTTTCTCAATACCTTTATATTCTTAATATTAGTAGATAATTTACCCAAACTATGGGTCTTATATTTCAGTTTTTATCCTTGTGTCTTTAAATGTATTTTAGCAGAAAATTGACAGAGATTGCTCAAAGATCTGCTACTCAGGTGGCATTAATATGAGAAATTCTCCACTGTAATATGTTTAGAAACAGAATATGAATATAAATAACATTGTAAAATAAATACACAATAGTTTCTTGACAAACTTTACATTTCCCATGATTATGAAGTTAATTTTTCATTCGAATGAGTCTTAGGGTTTTCTAGGTATACAATCATATCATCAGCAAAGAGCAACAGCTGGACTTTCTCTTCGTCGATATGGGTGCCCTTTATTTCTTTCTCTTATCTGATTGCTCTGGCTAGAACTTCCAGTATTATGTTAAATAGAAGTGGTAAAAGTAGGCATTCCTGTCTTGTTCCACTTCCCAGAGAGAATGCTTTCAGCTTTTCCCTGTTCAATATAATGTTGGCTGTGGGTTTGTTGTAAATGGTTTTTTTTTTTTGAGACAGAGTTTCACTCTTGTCATCCAGGTTGGAGTGCAGTGGCGTAATCTTGGCTCACTGCAACCTCCACCTCCTGGATTCAAGCTATTCTCCTGCCTCAGCAGCCCGAGTAGCTGGGATTACAGGCCCACATTACCAGGCCCAGCTAATTTTTTGTATTTTTAGTAGAGACGGGGTTTCGCCATGTTAAGCAGGCTGGTCTCGAACTCCTGACCTCAGGTGATTCGCCCACCTCGGCCTTCCAAAGTGCTGGGATTACAGGTGTGAGCCACCGCGCCCGGCCCATAAATGGCTTTTATTACTTTAAGGTATGCCTTTCTATGCTGATTTTGCTGAGGATTTTAAACATAAAGCGATGATGGATTTTGTCAAGTGCTTTTTCTGCATCTATTGAGATGATTATGTAATTTTTGTTTTTAATTGTTTATTTGGTGTATCACATTGATTGACTTATGTATGTTAAACCACCCCTGCATCACTGGTATGAAACCCACTTGATCATGGCGGATTATCTCTTTGATATCCTGTTGGACTTTGATTGCTGGTATTTTGTTGAGGATTTTTGCATCTATGTTTATCAGGAGTATTGGTCTGTAGTTTCTTTTTTTTGTTGTTTTTCCCTGGTTTTGATATTCGGGTGATATTGCCTTATAGAATGATTTAGGAGGACTACCTCTTTCTCTATCTTTTGAAATAGTGTAAGATTGGTACCAATCCCTTTTTGAATGTCTGATAGAATTCAGCTGTGAATCCGTCTGGCCCCAGACTTTTTTTGTTGGCAAATTTTTTATTATCATTTCAGTCTCCCTGCTTGTTATTGGTCTGTTCATAGATTCTATATCTTCCTGATTTAATCTAGGAGGGTTGTATATTTCCAGGAATTTATTCATCTCCTCTAAGTTTTCTAGTTTACAAAGTAAAGATGTTCATAGTAGCCTTGAATAATCTTTGTATTTCTGTGTTATCAGTCATAATATCTCTTGCTTAGTTTCAAATTGAGTTTATTAGGACCTTCTCTTTTTTTTTTCTTGGTTAATCTCGCTAATGGTCTATCAATTTTATTTATCTTTTCAAAGAACCAGCTTTTTGTTTCATTTATCTTTTGTATTTTTGTTGTTGTTGTTGTTTCAACTTCATTTTATTCTGCTCTGATCTTTGTTATTTCTTTTCTTCTGTGGGGTATGGGTTTGGATTGTTCTTGTTTCTCCAGTTCCATGAAGTATGACCTTAGATTGTCTATTTGTGCTCTTCTAGACTTTTTGGTGTAGGCATTCAATGAGATGAAGTTTCCTTTTAGCACCATTTTTGCTGTATCTCAGAGGTTTTGACAGATTGTGTCATTATTATCATTCAGTTCAAATAATTTTTTTTATTTTTATCAAGATTTCATTGTTGACTCAATGTTCATACAGGAGCAGGTTATTTAATTTCCATGTATTTGCATAATTTAGGGGGTTCCTTTCAGAGTCAATTTCCAATTTTATTCCCCTGTGGTCTGAGAGAGTACTTGACATAATTTAGATTTTCTTAAATTTACTGAGACTTGTTTTGTGGCCTATCATATGGTCTATCTTGGAGAATGTTCCAGTTGCTGAGGAATCGAATGTGTATTCTGTAGTTGGTGAGTAGAATGTTCTGTAAATATGTTAAGTCCATTTGTAATAGGATATACTTTAAATTCATTGTTTCTTTGTTGACTTTCTGTCTTCATGACCTGTATGGTGTTGTCAGTGAAGTACTATAGTCCCCCATTATTATTGTGTTGCCGTCTCTCTCATTTCTTAGGTCTAGTAATAATTGTTTCATAAATTTGGGAGCTCCAGTGTTAGGTGCATATATATTTAGAATTGTGATATTTTCCTGTTGGACTAGTCCTTTTATCATTATATAATGTCCCTCTTTGTCTTTTTTTAACTGCTGTTGCCTTAAAGTTTGTTTTGTTTGATATGAAAATAGCTACTTCCTACTTGTTTTTGGTGTCTATTTGCAAGGAATTCTTTTTCCATCTCTTTACCTTAAGTTTATGTGAGTCCTTATGTGTTAGGTGAGCCTCCCAGAAACTTGGTTGGTGAATTCTTATCCATTCTGCCATTCTATGTCTTTTAAGTGGAAGATTTAGGCCATTTGCATTCAATGTTATTATTGAGATTTGAGGTACTTTTCTATTCATCATGCTATTTGTTGCTGGAATGCATTTTTTATTGTGTTATTGTTATGTAGGTCTGTGAGAATTATGCTTTAAGGAGGTTCTATTTTGGTGTATTTTGAGGATTTATTTCAAGATTTAGAGCCCCTATTGGCAGTTATTTTAGTGTTGGATGGTAGTGGCAAATTCTCTCAGTTTTTTTGGGGCTGGAAAAGACTACCATTCCTTCATTTACGAAGTTTACTTTCACTGGATACAAAATTCTTGGCTGATAATTGTTTTGTTTAAGGAGGTCAAAAATAGGACCCCAATTCCTTCTAGCGTGTAGAGTTTCTGAGAAATCTCCTGTTAACCTGATACGTTTTCATTTATAGGTTATCTAATGCTTTTGCCTCACAGCTTGTTTTTTTATTAGTATTATACTTTAACTTCTGGGGTACATGTGCAGAACATGCAGGTTTGTTACATAGGTATACACGTGCCATGGTGGTTTGCTACACCCATCAACCACATCACAGCTTTTAAGATCATTTCCTTTGTCTTGACGTTAGATAACCTGATGGCTATGTACCTAGGCCATGATCTTTTGGCAATGAATTTCCCAGGTATCTTCAGAGCTTCTTGTACTGGGGATGTCTAGATGTCTAGCAAGGCAGGGGGAGTTTTCCTTGATTATTCCCTCAAATATGTTTTCCAAACTTTTAAATTTCTCTTCTTTCTTGGGAACGCCAATTATTCTTAGATTTGCATGTTTAACATAGTCCCAAACTTCTTGGAGGCTTTGTTAGTTTTTTAAATTCTTTTTTCTTCATCTTTGATGGATTGAATTAATTCAGAAGCCTTGTCTTCGACCTTTGAAGTTCTTTCTTCTGCTTGTTTTATTCTATTGCTGAGATTTTCCAGTGCATTTTGCATTTCTCTATGTGGTCCTTAATTTCCAGAATTTGTGTTTGTTTTTAATTTATGCTGTTTATTTCACTGAAGACTTTTCCTTTCATATCCTGTATCATGATTTTAATTTCTCTAAGTTGGACTTCATGTTTCTCTGGTACCTCCTTGATTAGCTTAATAATTGACCTTCTGTATTCTTTTTCTGGCAATTCAGAGATGTCACCTTGGTGTGGATCCATTGCTGGTGATCTGGTATGGTCTTTAGGGGGTGGTAAAGAATATTCTTTTGTCATATTACCAGAATTGTTTTTCTGATTCCTTCTCATTAGGTAGAACCTTGTTTTGTCATATTACCAAAATTATTTTTCTGGTTCCTCTCATTTGGGTAAACGATGTCAGAGGGAAGATCTGGGATTCAAGGGCTGCTGTTCACATTCTTTTATCCCATGGGGTGCTCTCTTGATGTGGTGTTCTCTCCCTTCCTCTAGGAATGGGGCCTCCTGAGAGCAGAACTGTAGTGATCGTTTTTGCTCTTCCAGGTCTAGCCACACAGGGAAGCTACCAGGATCTTGGCTGGTACTGGGGATTGTTTGCAAAGAGTCCTGTGATGTGATCCATCTTCAGGTCTGACAGCCATGGATACCAGCACCTGCTCTTGTGGACTTAGCAGCGGAGTAAAGTGGACTCTGTGAGGGTCCTTGGTTGTGTTTTTGTTTAGTGCACCTGTTTTGTGTGGGTTGGCCTCAAGCCAGGAGGTGGTGCTTTCAAGAGCATATTAGCTGTGGTCATACAGGGAGGATGCAAACTTGCCCTAGGGACACCTGGCTAAGTATTCAGGTTTTTCAGGCAGTGGGCAGGCCATCAAGCTCGCAAGAGAATATGAGCTTTGTCTTCAGCTGCCAGGGCAGGTAGAGAAAGACCACCAGGTAGGGGCAGGGAGAGGCTTAGTCTGAGCCCAGCTTCTCCATGGGTAGGGCTTGCTGTGGCTACTGTGAGAGATAAGGGTGTGGTTCCCAGTCCAGTGGAGTTATATTATTACCCAGGGAGATTATGGCTGTGTCTGCTGAGTCATACAGGTCGCCAGGAAAGTGGGGGAAAGCTGGCAGTCACAGGCTTCACCCTGCTCCCACACAGCCCACTGTCTTAAAGGCTGGTCTCGCTCCCACCATCCCCACCACAACAGCACCGAGTCTATTTCCAGGCAGCCAGTGACAAGGGCTGAGAACTTGCCCCAGACCATGAGCCTCCCCATTGAGAAAGCAAGAAGATTCAGTTTTTCAGCATCTCAGGGAGCCTGCAATGGTGTCCCAGTTCCTTCAAAGGGTCTGTGGATTCTCTGAGAGTTTCTGGTATGTTCCTGTGGAAGTTATTGGAGTAAAAGTTCACGATGTGAGTCTCCACACGCTGCTCTGGCCATCCAAGTGGGATCTGCAAGTTAGTCCTATCTCCTATCTACCATCGTTCTAATATGTCAAGGATTACCTGTTTTCATTGATATGATGATCTCTCTAGAAGTCCATTCTTATTCACCAATTTGCTGATGTTTATTGAATTATTTACTAGGCACAAGGTATAAAGATTTTTAAGTCATGATTTGTGTCCTCAGGTTAATCTCTAGAGACAGAGAGGTAAACAAATGACAACAGAAGATCCCCATTGATATAGGACAAGTCCTTAAGGCTGCAAATGCTACAAAAGTGTAGCAGAAAATGTTTCAAATATACGATGACATAAAAATAAAAATTCATGCATATTTTAGATATCAGGAAAATTGAGAGGAAAAAAATGACACTTGATTTTACAAATGCTCTAGTAACCTAATTGGATGACTTTTCAAGATCAACAATAGAGAAAAATAAATTTCAACCTTGTTGACCTCTTAGGAAAGACAAATATATTGTATATAGCATATTAAAATAAAATAATCTGGCAATGCAATAGGAAAGTTATCAAGTTGTATGGTTCAAAATATGTGATTTGCCATTCAAATTACTTTTGCCAAACTTTTTCTACTTGGTAACTATTCTAGGAAATTCAAAGGGCAAAATCTATAATATTGGTTCTTGCTGCCTTTTTACAGGATTGTTGAGTTCGCTTTGTGAGCTGAAACTGCATGAGCTAGTGCTCATTTCCAAGCCCTGTGAAAAAAACTTATATTTTTTTTTCCTGAAAAACAATGGAATTCAATGAAAAGTTATACGGGATAAGAGGAGAAATCTAGATCCCTAAACAACATTCAGAAATGGCTTCCAGCTGTTGTAAATATCACCTATAAGTTGTTTACAAAGCTAGATGTAATATTTTGCTCCCTTGTAATGACAGTGATTTTTTTTTTTGCCCAGTCTTTCTCAGAATGAACATGGTGTTGATTTGTTATTACTCTTTTACTACTTAATTTTTGAGGTATATGATACAAAAAAGCAATCAATGTAGCAATAAACTAGCTTTATCAAATATTAATAGATTTGTCTTATTTGCTTCACTTTTTGAAAAATGAGTTCACATTTTTTGAATTCCTACTTTTTAAAAGACTTATTTAGCCTGATGTAGTATGAAATATTTCAATATGTCTATAAGTACACAAAACAAAAAATATACTGCCCAAGATTTATTACAAAATTATTACCTTTGTAGCCACTACCCAAGTTAAAAAAACGTTTGCCACAACCCACAGATTCCTTTTCTGTCCTCTTCCATTACTATTCCATCTCCTCTCCTAAAGTAACCACAATCTTGACAATTTCTATTGGGGGCTTAGGCATCATAACAATCCCAGATCAACTAAATCAAGTATCCATGATTAAATTTAATTAATGCTGGGTTGCAGTTCCTCAGAATGTCAATTTCACTGTAAGTAAAACTTGCTCCTGTATTCCAACACTTTAGGATCCCAGTGCAAAGATGAGAAATTTATCTAGGGCATCTTTTACATCATGGAAATGTATGGAGTCTAATTTTTGTTTCCCTGGTCTCATGAGACTCTCAAAAACAGTTCCCAGGGTCACAAACTCTCAGTTACTTCTTCCTGGATTGGCACATACCCAGAAGGCTAAAATGGCCCTAAATGCCAGGCTCAGATGCCTTGAATTGTACATCCTCCAATAGTTGGAGAATTGGTAACTTGCCAATTACTTCAAGCAGATGCTTCTTTAGTCTTTGTCCAGCTTTTCTTGTAGTTTTCAGTAGGATTGTTGATTCAGATTTACTAGTGCACCAATTCTGGAAGCTAAAGTCTCATTACTATTTTTTAAGTACAAACGTTACAGATATAATTAAAATTCTGAATCCTCCTTTCTTGATTGATGTGGTTTGGATCTGTGTTTCCACCCAAATCTCATGTTCAATTGTAATCCCCAATGTTGGAGGTAGAGTCTGGTGGAAGGTGATTGTATCATGGGGGTGGTTTCTCCTGATTGGTTTAGCATCATATCCCTTGCTTGTGATAATGAGTGATTCTCCCAGGATCTGGTCATTTAAAAGTGTGTAGTACCTCCCTGCTCGCTCTCTCTGGCTCCTGCTCTGGCCATGTAATACACGCCTGCTTCCCCTTCCCCTTCTACCATAACTGTAAGTTTCCTGAGCTTCCTGTACAGCCTGCAGAACTGTGAGCCAATTTAAACCCTCTTTTCTTTATAAATTACCTACTTTTGGATATTTATTTATATCAATGCGAGAAAAGACTAATACATTGATCTTCTTCACCTCTTTTTTCCCTTCGTCTAGCACAGAATTACTATCCTAAATTATAGTGATTTTTATTCCAAACATTTCAGTGTTTTTTCCATACATATGAGTTCATACTTAATACATACTAACCAGTTTGCATATGTTTACATTTTAAAATATAATATTGAGATTTCCATTCTATAATTATCTTACTTCAAAACATTTTTATGTGAAATTTCTTTGTTTATACATGAATTCTACTTCAAATATTTTATGAACTAAATAGAGTCATTCATAAAAATATACTTCAAGTAAATTAACACTCTCCTTTGGATAAACAAATATTTCACTCTTATAACTAATGTCCTAATAAATGAATTTACATAAGCAAAAGATGTCTCAGGAAATAGAATGTAAGTGGTTAGTTTTAGAATATGTACATCTTCAACTTCACTAAATTTGTGCAATTACCTTCCAAAATTACCTAGTTTATATCCCCACCAGCACAGAATCTGGGTTTTCTTTGCTCTACATCCTTGATAATACTTAATATTTTTAGAATGTTAATATTTATTTTCAATATGAAAGTTAAAAATATGGTATTTGCTTTGAATTTGAATTTTTGTATGCCATTTATTTTTTCCAAAAATGTATTGGATACTATGATTTCTTCTCTGAATTGCCTGTTGATACATTTTAACGTTTGCCTATTAGTTTTTTTTTTTGTTCTTATTGGTTTATAATATCTATATATGTTTGAGGTCTGAATCTTTTAGTTTTATATTTTTGGAATTCCTATTGTCTCTAAGAAGCATTTATATTTGTATTTGATAGTGTCTTATTTTAATATTACCATATTTATCAATATTTTCATTTATACAGTTTTATAAAATTCGTTTAAAAATTTCTTGTATAATAGGAAAACGTAATTTATGTTACATGACTATAAAACATAATCTTCAGTGGTTTAAAATTACAGTGTAATATTTCACACTTATGTCAACACTGCGAGATGAGTCTGTTGTGCTTGCAATGATTGAGTGATGCAGGTTGTTTATCCAGTTAAAATGACAATATCCTTCCATTACTGTTTGATGACACCTTATAATCTTTAACCAAAACACTTCATTGTAAAAGAAAAATGCAATCAATTAACCTCTAAGTTTCTCAAATAATAACCACAATACATCTTTTCTATGTATAAGATATTTTCAAGTAAATTATCTAATTTATGCAACATAACACATTATTCAGTTGTTTAATAGCAGAGAGATGATTCAATCATATGACTTCAGACTCCGCAGAACTACTACTAATTTCATCTATGAGTGACTAGAAAGAGTAGTTATAAAAGAGTGATTTACTTTTGGATGATGTGGTGGCTCAAAGTATAAATTCCTAACTTTTATAATTGAACAGTGTAAAAGATTTTGTCAAATATATTTCCTGTGTTTGATGGCAGGTACATATTCTGCCCAAGCTGTTATTTAAAACAATAAAGCATATTTCAATTGTGTTGATTTAACTGAGAGAGGCAGAAACTACACATGACAAGTGGAACTCTATGATCTTACCATACAGAAAAAAAAAATGTATATCTATCTATCTAAACTAGCTTGTCCTTGCTATGCTGAATCAAAGTCATGCCAATCACTGAAAAGAATTCTCCCTATTCAAAGTATATTAGCAGAGAGATACAAGCAGACCATGAACTGAGAAACAGTTCAAAAAGTGAGACAAAGCAGTTAGTCCCACACAGTGATTTTTTTAAGTCTATGTTTTCTTGATTTTAAACTTTCCTTTCTATGTATAACAGAAGCATGAAAAGCATGTTAATATAATCATCTATCCTGTTTTTTATTAAAATAGATATTGATGATTTTTCTCTGATAAGAAGTTATGACATTCCATTTTCAAAACATACAAAAAGAACTAGTATCATTACAGTTCATTAAGTATGTATCAATTTACTAAATATATCACATTTCTCAAAAAATTTTCCAGTGTACTTGGAGTGGTTTCACCTGCTTATATCTGTTGTGATTTTTAGCTTTTATTCATATTTTAAAATAAATAAATATGTTTGCGATTTTTAAGCAATAGTATAGCAATGTAGGACTTCATGTACATATTAAAATTTGACCCTGTTAATCATCTGCCCAAAGTACCTGGCACAGAGACTTTGGTTATTTGAATAGAAACTGATTTCTTATCCTCAAATGCAATGTAGTAGGCTGACAGAACAAAGATAAGAAAGGATAATTCTTATTTTGAAATGTTTTCTGAAATTTAGAAAGCAAGTGATAATGGAGTGGTTGAAACGCAATGAATTGGAATCACAGTGACTAGCTCTGTTTTAACCCTTCCATGGCCTTGGAAATTGCCTCCCCTCTGACATGTAGTTTCTTCATAAAAACAGGCTATGTTTTATGCTCCATATTTCTCCCTTATGTTTCATAATTAAATAATTTTCACTCAGACACGGTCTTATAAAAATGGCTCCAAAGGAATAGTCTGAGGTGTGCTAACGCAAGCAATATCCTAGCTTCAGACTGAGCTCAGATATTTTTTGAAAGACAAGAGAGAGAAATTCAGGCATTACCTAAGAGTCATCAAAATCTTTAAAGGGGTTCTTAATGATGTCTTATGATAAGATTCCTTATTTTATCTTCTGTATAAGGAAAAAGCTCATGGGAGGCTGGACCCAGTGGCTGAAGCCTGTAATCCCAACCCTTTCGGAGGCTGAGGTGAGATGGTCACTTTAGGCAGGAGTTATAGACCAGCCTGAACATGTAACAAGACCCAATATCTACAAAAATAAAACAATAATTAGCTGGGCATGGTGACACATGCATGTAGCCCCAGCTACCCGGGAGGCTGAGGTGGGAGGATTCCTTAAGCCTAGGAATTCCAGACTGCAGTGAACTATGATTACACCACCGCACTCCAATTTGGATGACAGAGAAAGACCCCACTTCTAAAACAACAACGGCAACAGAAAACAACCTCATAGAAATGTATTACTAGTTATAGATTTTGGTATATTTATATCTAAATATATGTTTAGATATAAAAATGTTTAGATATAAAAATATTTTTTATATATGTACACATGCACAACCATCTGGCAATATCTATAACCCATTCACATTTCTCCAGAAAACTATACTCTAATGCCCAGATCAAAGGGGTCAGATAATACAAGGGCTTAAAGAACAGTTTAAGAATGTTGAACTTCATCTTAATGACAGTGAAAAGCCACTAAAAGGTTAAAAAGTAGTTGTGTAAGATGACTGAATATGAGTTTGGGGAATATTATTGTGGCTATATGGAGATTGTATGGAAGGAGCACATATATAGTTATAAAAGCTGTAGGAAGCCCAGTTAAGAGGCCATCACAAGATGCCAGGAAAGAAAGATGTGTCCCTAGCGGAAGGCAGCTCCTGCAGAGTTGAACAGACTTGAAGAGAATTCAGAGCAATTCAGCTGCACCCCAGCCTCTCTGTGCTCTCTGATTGCATAGAGATCATTGCTTGTGCAATTGGTTAAATCGGAGACCATCTTCTCAAGCTGCTTTCTTCCATATTACAGAAGGACTGGCCGAGAAATTATTCTCCCTCTTCCTCTGAGACCGTTTTCAGTGAACTATAGGGCAGCAACTAAAGATTAAGTCAGAAACGCATGTCTCCCATTACAACTTCATATACCAGATAGGATCCAGTGACATAGGTCATAAATGGTAAAGAAAAAAGCCTTTAAGTCTCATAAAACACTTTATATTCAAGGAGTAATATATGTTAAATTTCCTTAACTTCTGAGACTTCTTGCCTAAAAAATGAAGATCCCATACTTCATAAGATACTGTATTAAATGAAAAAAAAATAAATGGAATATAGCACCTGGCACAAAGTAGGTGCTAAATAAGTACTAATTCCCTTCTTTCCACTTCAACCCCTTCTTAGTTAACAGACAGGAAGTAACAGATGTCTTAAAAATATATATTGTTAATCCCTAAATATATTATTAATGGCCCAGAATAGAGATTCTAAAAACTGCAATCCATGCATCGATTAACAGTGGGGATACATTCTGAGAAATAAATCATTAGGGAATTTTATCATTGTGCAAGCATCATAGAGTGTACTCAGACAAACCTAGATGGTGAAGCTTGCCACACAACTAGGCTACATGGTATAGTCTATTGCTCCTAGGCTACAAACCTGGACAATATATTACTACTGAATATTGTAGACAATGGTCACACAATGGTAAGTGTGTGTATTTAAATATAAAAAAGTACAGTAAAAATATGGTATCATAATTTTATGAGACCATCATCATATTATAATCTTATAGGACCACCTTCATATATGTGATCTGTCACTGACCAAAATGTCATATGGTTTATGACTGTAGATCTTTTCAGCTTGCCTTGGAAGTACCTAATTTATCATGCTAAATAGATTTAGATTATTTGTTGTGGCCATATATAAAGTTAATATTCTTTCTTCTTTAAGCCCCTATCTTTACCTAAGGAGTAGCTATGCAATAGTGACCTTTTTATATATTGAAATTCTGCAGTGAAATAATTTAACTTCTCTCCCCTGGCAGATTGGAAACAAAATCCCGAGGAAAGGGAATAAAATAGAATGTTAAAATCTAATCAATATCCATATATTGCCAAAAATCTGTGATGCTCAGACGTATCATCCAAAGTTTCATAAATGTGGCTGTCTTATTATGTATTATCCTCCACACTCAGAGTGCTTCCAACAACTAAAAGATTTGGCCACAGATCAGAAAGTAACTTTGGCAATTAAAAAAAAAATCAAAGAATATAACTAGACAATATGTAGAAAAGTGGACAATGAGGCAAGATGGTAAAGAAGTATTGATAATCAGTGAATTATAGTGATCATAATAGTTTGCTTTCTCTGCTCTAGCCTATTTACCCCTCTGTTCAAACTCAAATGTATTTAGATCACTACTTTGTGGGATATGGGAAGTGGGACAGAATTTCCATCCCACTCATGCCTGATAAAATGACCTCTGTTCCACCACCGCTCTGACTAAACTTGTCATAACTCTGAAACAAAAGGCCAGATTTAAATATGAGAAAGTGGTAAGAAATGCTTCCTCGCATACTACTATACCATGAGGTTTTTCTTTTTTAATCACATCTTTCTGTGAATTTCTCATGCTTGTTTTTAAATCTTTTACTTTTCCCATCAAAGTAATTAAGCTGATTCCTAAAATGGTCATCAAGACTTAACAAAAAAACTAAATGTCCTCCATTTCTCTTCTTACTATGAAATGGACAGGCAGAGAATCTGTGCACTGTTGAATAAGGCAAGGAGGAGCAAGTTGATACTGCAGTGCCAGTTGCATTGCATAGGAAGTCATGCCTAGTCAGCTTGCAATTGTACTTCCGTCCCTTTATCTGCCCCTTCATTTACAAGCTACTTCCCTATCTCTCTCTCTCTCTCTTTTTCTCTCTTCCTTTCCCTCTCTCTCTTTCTACTCTCTCTCTCTCTTTTATAGCACCCTAAAGACATGAAGGGTAGTTTAGGCCCAATAATTTCTTTGTTGCAAATTAACATGTGGCAATTAAAACCCTAGTTTAGAACAATAATTCTCACAGAAAACTTCCTTTATTCTGAACTGTGAGGAGGGATGGGGGGATTTCTGAACTAGAATCATCTTTCAGTTACATCTCCTCATTACCACTGTTATTTCTTTGTAGGGGTAGAATGACCTCCCTGTTATATATTCCCCATTCAATATAGGCATCATCCTACATTGTAGTGGAAAATTTTTGAGAAGCACCATTAGATATACAAGAATGTTGGACCTAAATAAAACATGAAATTTATGTCCAATAAAAGCTAAAAATTACCTTGAACAAGCCATTAAAACTTATTGTTAAACTGCCTCTGCATCTGAAAATGAAGACGTTTAACTCTGACCTCTAATGTCCTTTCAAAAAATTATAACACCTAAATTATATCATTAAATTTTAGTATCTTGTATAGCAGTTTATTGAAATGGCTTTCTTTTCTTTGGTTGAAAATTCATAGCAGGCCAGAATTTAGATAATAGTATTTAATAGAGGTTACTCTCTAGTATGGAAAAAAGTATGGCAGACAGAACTGTACTTTAATGGTCAAATAATAAAATATAACTTTGTATGTATCTCTACCTATTCTCTAATATTACATAAGGAATCACATTATTTTTGACAGGTGCCTAACTCAGAGTGCAATCCTTGCTTATGTCTCAGTCTGACTCAAAGCCTTCGTTTTTTTGCAGCTGATACCATGGGGAAGTATACGAAGACATGAAGGAGAGAGCAAAGAGTCAAATTTGTGTTTATTAGTTTACCAGACTAGGCTGCTAAATGAAAACTCCCCACAGCCCTTCTGCCTCCACAGGCAGGACCACTTCCAGGTCTGTGGTGGAGTCTGAGTGGAATAAAATAAGCACTTTTACACTTTGCTTTCCAACTGAATCTTATTAAAACATTGATAGTTCTTCTCTAAGGGTTAAGAGAAACAGGAATGCAGATTATGATGAAAAAATTGCCAACACAGGACTTTTTTGTAGCCATACACTTGTTTTGTTTTACATGAATATGCATGAGAGTTTATTTTTATATTTTCACATGAAAATATTTATATTGTGATAATAGTTTGCCTCTGCACTTGAAATATGAGACTAGTTATATATTGATAAAATATTGTCTTTTTAACTCTCGTGGATACATATATTATTTCTTGAACTGATGAAAAATTTACTGTTGCTAAGCTTAAACATAAAAATTCTTATATAATTATATTTGAACAGGTATATGGTGCATAATTGGAAATGGAGCATGATGGGGAGAAGTATGAACCAGAGACTTTTGGAAGAAGTCTGAATTCTGTGTGCTTTATATACATTTCTCATGAAGTAGGTCCACAGTTGTAAAGAATTTATTCCATTGCATACATTTATTCACCATTAACACTACTTCAAAACAACCCTTTATGCATAAACACATATATGAGAACAAGATAAACTTGTTTAAATTTCTACTAAGGATTGTTTAGAAAATATCCAAATGAACCGAGCTTAAACCATGCTGAATATTCATACATCTCTAATTTTTTTAAATGTTGCTAAAAATTAAAAATAAGGTTTGCGTCTAGTAAGGTGACATATCTAGAGTTTACAAGATCATGTTTAATACTGTAAACCATCTATAATTTTAATTTCCTTTTTTCATATGCTGTGTGACAAACAATTCCACCATTATAAATAACCTTCTTTATAGAGTCATACTAATGGTGCCATAAAGGTATTACTTGATGTATTTCCTACATTTTTCTCTCCTTTGTTTTTGAAAAGATTTATAGTTATTTCTCTATTTAGCCAGCAGATGTGAAGTGACTTCAGGTTGATCTGTATCCATCAGAAAGTGCCAAATGTTTCTTATTTAATTCCATTTCCGTGGAAACCTGAAGACACTTCATGTATCGTCTTTCAATTTCCTGAAGAAAGATAACTTTCATTATTTTGGCATGAGACACTCTTAGAATGCCCTATGTCGAGAATAATTAGAATTTCACTCTTCAGCTTCTCTCCTGCAGTATATTGACTGTCTAAAAGAGCCTCACTGTCTGGTGCCTGATAAATGTGTTCTTGAGTGTATGAACTGAAGTGAATCTGAGCCAGACCAGTTAGAGCTGTCCATGTGAAAGCCTAGATAAAGGTGTAAAAATGTACATGTTGAGACATTCATTAATTTACTGCATGACTATTCCATTTATTAAACAGAGGCTACTGTGACAGACTAGCTCAGATGTTGTGTCTATAGAGAATAAGAAAATAAATTCAACTACACAGTTACCATGGCACTTGCAAATTGAGTTTTAACAGTTACTTTCATTTCATTAAAACAAAGCCTAGATTAGTACTGGTCCTAAACTCTTTCAAAAGACTTCTGCAAACTGTGGTGGGGGGACAAAAGAAATTTCATATGAAATACTGGTAGAAACAAAGACAGAAAGTAGGGGCAAAGCAATTATTTCATTTAAAATCACAATCAAACTCTGCCTCATGTCTTAACTCACACTGCTTTTCTAGAGCCACCTGCCATTTCACAAGTGAATACTTTGTGCCTCTGCCTAGAAGACTTTGTGCTGTCTCTCTTTCCACAAAATTGAATAATCTCTTCTCCCTTGTAACATTCAAAGACTTCAGAGATTGTTCTTTCATAGCATTTTTGCCATACCGTAATTGTGATATTTATCACATTGCATTTTAATATTGTATTTGTTTTCTTGCCCAATTAGATGTAAGAATTTAAAATACAGTGACAACTTGTTTATATATGTATATAGGGGTATATATATGTGTGTGTATATATATATACATATACATATATATACACACACATATATAAGTATCTAAGTATATATGTGCATTCTAAAGGGTTTGATACAAAGTTGATGCTCATAAAATGGCTAATGAATCAGTGGGTAAACAAATGAAAGAATGAATGAAGAGAGAAAAATACGACCAGTCACATGTTTTCAACACTGGATAGAATGAAAACTCTGCATTTAGTTCCAGGGTTGGTCAGAAAAGATAAAGAGATTTTTAATGGTTCTGAATTCAAATGTGGATGGTAAATCCCAAAGTAATTCACCCAAACATTGTTTTAATATTAGGCCACATATTTGAAGAAAAACTGTTACCCATTTAATTGCATTATTTGATTTTAAATATTAGAACTCTTATCTACATGGCAAACAGAAAACATGCTAGACTTGTTTGAGCAATATAATGATCACAGAGTATATAAAATACAATTAATGTCCATCCAAATGTATTTTAAAATAGTTAATAAACTTAGGAGCCATTTGTGAGAAATGTTGAAAGATTTTAATAGCTGAATCTGTAAATCGATACTGAAAAATTGAGGGGTTTTAGTTGAAGAGTTAAGAATCTTGAAGTAATGCAATAGAAAGGGGGGGAAATAAAGTTTGTTTAAGAAATTCCAAGGCATAGCTTTATTATATTAAGGTAAGAATATGAAATGTAAAGATCAGTGTTTACCTATTTGCCTGATGTATATTATGAAGGCTTCAATGTAAGTAGTAGCTGTTTAAACAGAAAGGGAAGAAGAAACCAAGATGCTTATTTAAGAGGGTATAAGCAGACTGATGGTAGTATGAACACATGAGAAGCCAATGAGATGGTGAGTCAAAGTAGCCATACAGTTGCTTTCTACCCATGCCACTTTTGAATAAAGATTGATAATAAGGCAGAATGATGCTGAATTAAGAATTGTTCAAATGTTATGTTTCTTAGAGAAGTTAATAAAATTAGCCTTGGCTTGCTAATTTTGAGTAATACTTTATATATAAAGTTAGAGAAATACTGATGCAATGGAAAGCCCAGGGTAAAAAGAGGATTTATTTGAAATGATCAGTTTAAAATCCAGTACTTGGATGTATGAGTGGTATAAAGGAGACAGTAGAGAATGAAATAAACATCGACAAAAGAATTAAACATGGGGTTAATGAGTAAGGCAATAAACCAAAAAACAAACAAGAAAACCACATTAGAGGCAGAGAAAGAAGCAAAATATCTAAGAATTGTGATAGCATTAACATATTTTTCCAAAGAAATATCCAAGTAGAGGAGTCAGACAACTCTGCTGAAGGTGCAGAGTAGTTAATCCTGGTGATATCAGGAGTGGAGATATCAACTCACTCCAATTGCATGAGTGTAGTGGGTGTGTCTGGGATATCATTGATAATAAGTGCTGGAATGATAAAGAAAAATTTAAACATAAAAAACAGAGAATGAAGAGAGAAAAATGAAATGTGCTCTGTGCTCAGAAGGGGCTCACCCAATATACATAACTTTATAAAGTATTCACTGGTTAAGTAAAAGATTAAAGGCCATGCAATTACTCACCCAAGTGGATACTCTAATATTGTTGGACATATAGAAATGGACAGGGGAAGACAGGTTCTCTGTGGCTTACCAAAACTTAATCATGAAGGATAAGATAATCAATTAAGATATAAACTGTCTAGTACTGTCACAAGCACAAGTGAAGTTTTTGTTTCGGACTTTTCAATTTCGGGAGAAGCCAAAATTGGTGAATATTTGAAAGCAAGCAGACATTTCCAAATAGAATTCTGGGACAAGGGAGAGTAACATTTTATTGTTCTTAAAAAAATAATTATAGAAAACCTATGTTTATAGACTGAATTTGGAAAAGTAAACAAAATGCAAAGGCATTGCAATTTACATGGGGAGAAATATTTTACAGCAAGACATTCAAAATGTCACCTCATATCTAAGTACAGGCAAGTCATATTGCTGAGGTATGTAAGAAAAAGCAACTCCATCAAGCATTCTATTAAAAAAAAAACTGAAAAAAAACATAAAAAAAGAACAAGCAATTCTTTGCTTTTGGTGATAAAGTAGATGATTCTGAAAGCTGTTCAAAACAATACCAGCTAAGGTTAATAGGCTTGCTGGAAGGTTGGAAGTTAGGAAGCCAGCCAATTTTATAGAACGATACTGTGAATGATATACTGGCAAATTTTCTAGGGCTATTTATATTTTTTATTGTCAACAGAATGTGCACATTGGATGCCAATTTCCTTCATCTCACTGAGAATTTTCCTGAAATAATGTTTTCTTATAGATTAATTCCTGATTTTGATTACCCAAACAATTATGCCACATTCTATTATATTGCAGTAAATCGTAGTATCCATCAGTTGCATTTTGGCTTTTCATGAAATATTTTGAAAAGTTAACCTTTTGCTAAAGGTACAGGCATTGGAAAAATTCAAGTTTAAATTATAATTTCACCACTTAATATCTTGCAAGTTTATTTCCTTAGATGTAAAATGAGCTTAATAATACTTCCATTGCAGAACTGTTCTTAGAATTGAAAAGACTTGTAAATCTACTTGAATAGCACCTGTTACATGGTAAAGGTAGAAAAAAAAGTAAAGGGCTTGAAAGGCAAATTGATATTACAAACACACACACACAGTATTATATTTTTAAAAAGGTAAAGTCACAGCTCTCATCTAAATATAATATGAACACATTTAAAATATGTAGTTTAACTCTTTAATGAATGAGAGAACATGTAAGGTGTTATATCTATTCAACAGATTATCCTAAAAGCAAGCATACATACATAAACAGGAATGATGAAATTATTGGGCTCAATATAATAGATAATAAACTGGCTTCTTCTACAGGGTAAATGAAAATCAACTGCGCCTCCACCTGTCAAAATGCATTGTTTTATATGGATAAGAATTACTTTCACCATTGTCAGTACCTACTACTTAAAAGGTGTAAAGGCTGGGTGCAGTGGCTCATGCCTGTAATCCCAACACTTTGGGAGCCTGAGGTGGGCAGATCACAAGGTCAGGAGTTCGAGACCAGCCTGGCCAGCATGGTGAAACCCGGTCTCTACTAAAAATACAAAAAATTAGCTGGGCATGGTGGCACGCACCTGTAATCCCAGCTACTCTGGAGGCTGAGGCAGGAGAATTGCTTGAACCCAGGAGGTGGAGGTTTCAGTAAGCTGAGATCATGCCACTGCACTCCATCCTGGGCGACAGAGTGAGACTCCATCTAAAAGAAAAAAAAGTGTAAAACAGCTCAAAGTAAATGAAAGACAGAGATAATCCTGATGTGTTTGCAGAACAGGCCACCCAGGAATAATTTTGGTTACTGTAGCCTTGCATTTCAATTTGTCCATTCACAATTATTTTTCTGACAATCCTCCCAATTTATGTTCATATCATAATAACAAAGAAGACTATAATTGATTACAAAGAATTGACTAGTTTTGTTAGGTTTGGCCTGGTTGTTTATATAGGTCCAGCAACAGTTTTAATTAACCCTGTAGTTCTCCTTACATGTTCTTTTGCAAATCAAGTATCACAGAATATTTTAAAACCCACAAAGTCATAAAATTCTTTTTTTAGTTTTCATTTTTATTTTAGATTCAGGGGATACATGTGCAGATTTGTTACAAGGGTATATTTCTTGGTACTGAAGTTTGGGCTTCTGTTGATCCTATCACCCAGATAGTGGACGTAGTTACCAGTAGGAAGTTTTGCAACCCTTGGCCCCTCCCTTACCCCAGCCATTTGGAGTTCCCAGTGCCTAGTATTCCCATCTTTAAAATCTATGTGAACTCAAGATATAGCTCCAACTTATAAGTGAGAACATGAGTTATCTTGGTTTTCTGCTTCTGCATTACTTTACTAAGGATAATGCCCTCCAACACCATCCATGTTCCTGCAAAACACATGATCCCATTCTTCTTTGTGGCTGCATAGTATTCTATGATATATATGTACCACATTTTCTTTATCCAGCTCACTGTTGATGACCTAGGTTGATTCCATGCCTTTGCTATTATGAATAGCACTGCAATGAACATAAAAGGACATGTGTAGTTTTGGTAGAAGTATTTATTTTCCTTTGGGTATATACTGAGTCATGAGATTGCTGGGTTGAATGGTAGTTCTATTTTTAGTCCTATGAGAAATCTCCAAACTGCTTTCCACAGAAGCCAAGCTAATTTGCATTCCCACCAACAGTGTATACACATTCCCTTTTCTCTGCAACTTTGCCAATATGTGTTACTTTTTGACTTTTTAATAACAGCCATTCTGACTGGCCTGAGATGCTATCTCATTGTGATTTTGATTTGCATCTCTCTGATGATGAGTGATATTGAGAATTTTTTCATGTTTGTTGGCTGCTTGTATATATTCCTTTGAAAAGAGTTTGATCATGTCCTTTGCCCACTTTTTAATGGGGTTGTTTGGCTTTTTTCTTCTTGATTTAAGTTCCTTATTGATTCTGGATATTATGCATCCTTTGTCAGATGCATAGTTCGCAAATATTTTCTCCTTCTCTGTAGGTTGTCTGTTTACTCTATTAAGAGTTTCTTTTGCTGTGCAGAAACTCTTTAATTAAGTCTGATTTGTCTATTTTTTATTTTGTTGCATTTGTTTATGGGGTCTTCATGGTAATTCCTTTGCCTAGGCCAGTCTTTAAAAGAGTATTTCCTAGACTTTCTTCTGGAATTTTTGTAGTTTGATGTCTTACATTTAAGCCTTTAATCCATCTTGAATTAATTTTTATAAATGGTGAGAGGTAGGAGTCCAGTTTTATTCTTTTGCACATGGTTAGCCAGTTTTCCCAGCACCATTTATTGAATAGGGTATCCTTTCCCTATTGTTTATTTTTGTCAACTTTGTCAAAGATGAGTTAGTTGTAGCTATGTGGCTTTATTTCAAAGGTCTCTGTTCCATTGGTCTATGTGTCTATTTTTGTACTAGTACCATGTTGTTTTGGTTGCTGTAGCCTTGCAGTATAGTTTGAAGTCAGGTAATGTGATGCTTTCAACTTTGTTCTTTCTGCTTAGGATTGCCTTGGCTATTTGGGCTCTTTTTGGTTCCATATGAAATTTAGGTTTTTTCCTAACTCTGTGAAAAATGACATTGGTAATTTGATAGAAATGGTGTTGAATCTGTAGATTGCTTTGGGCACTACTGACATCTTAATGATATTGACTCTTCCTACCAATGAGGATGGAATGGTTTTTTCCATTTGTTTGTGTCTTCTGTGATTTCTTTGGGCAATGTTTTGTACTTCTCATAGAGATTTTTCACCTCCTTGGTTAGGTATATTCCTAGATATTTTATCTTTCGTGTAAGCCACAAAATTCACTTCTTTATGAATGTTTTCATAAGGAATTTTGGATTATGCTTTTAAAGGTATCTATTTGCTATTGGGAGGATAACAAAACAAACCCAAGAAATGTTCTCTACAAGATTTCAACTGCAGTGTCTGTAAATCTGAGTGAATTCTTCTCTTCCTGAGGTCCCCAACATTTCTCAAAGCTCCTGCACTGGCAGGAGTTTAACTTTCTTACAGTCTAAAATGCTGAGACCAGCTCGGTCGGGGAGACCCTAACCCAGTGGCGCTAGAGGAATTAAAGACACACACAGAGAAGTGTGGAGTGGGAAATCAGGGGACTCCTCACAGCTTTCAGAGCTGAGAGCCCTGAACAGAGATTTACCCCCATATTTATTGACAGTAAGCCAGTGATAAACATTGTTTCTATAGATTATAGATTAACTAAAAGTATTCCTTATGGGAAACAAAGGGATGAGCCGAAACAAAGGGATGGGCTCTGGCTAGTTATCTGCAGCAGGAACATGTCCTTAAGGCACAGATCATTCATGCTATTGTTTGTGGTTCAGGAATGCCTTAAGTGGCTTTCTGCCCTGGGTGGGCCAGGTGTTCCTTGCCATCATTCCGGTAAACCCACAACCTTCAGCGTGGGCATCATGGCCATCACAAATATGTCACAGTGCTGCAGAGATTTTGTTTATGGCCAGTTTTGGGGCCAGTTTATGGCCAGATTTGGGGCCTATACCCAGCACTAAAAGACTAAGCCAAATGAACAAGGTAAAAGGCCAGTTTTCCTAATAGAACTTTTATGCTTTGGCTCTGTCAAGAAAGCTAAACACTATTATTTAAAACTAACTTGTTATACTTTATTCAGTAAGCATGATTCTCAAATAAGATATTTGAAGTATGGCTATGACTGCACAATTTGTCAATTATGTGCTGGTAAGAAGGAGAAGATATTGCAGTAGAAACTATGCAATCTACTCTCTTTTGCAATGAAAATTAAGGAGACTCAAGATTTTATAAATTCTGGAAGGTCAGGGAGAATCAGATATCATTTTAAGATGTCATATTTCAATGTATAGAAGTAGAGTTTATTAAGTTGTTGTTGATTGTGAATAGCTTAAGAAAGAAGAAAAAGGTCTTCCTTACATATCTGGAGAATGGAACCTTAAAAATACATCAACAATATTCCAAGTAACCACAGTGTAATTTCCTTCAGCGTTTATTCAGTCCTACGTAATTAGTTTTTTTTCTGCTGGATCCTGGCTTATCCATCCATTTGCCTGCAGCTGACTTACACTACACTAAAATGAGTCCTGGAAATCCTAACTCAGTCAACAGGTATGGTATGGAAGTTATCTAAGTGATGTTTGGTCAGAAACCTATACCCATGGGTCCACTCTTTTAACGGTCAGTAGTTAGACATGTCTGGTACAATACTTTTCTACAAAACTCTGAGACTATGTTTATTTGTTGAATATACAATGACTGGCTCGTAGCAGAACCTTCTAGCAAGTGTAACAGTAAAATCAAAACTACCCACAGATGAGAGAGGATTAATTTCTGGCTGTGGTTAATTTATTACTATAATCAGTATATCAGGAAGGAAGATGGTAAAATTCTCTATTGCAATATAGTACATTCTTTCCCTAAAGAGTTTTGATCAGTGCTTTTCCCAAGGGTAAGTACATATTATAGATATTAAGCACATTGACAAAACTCCAGAGTTTTCCCATAAAGCAGAAATATTTATTTTGATAACATTTTACCTATACAAATTTAATTTAGAGGAAGTTGAGCATATCTTCTGATGTGACAATTTTCTATGCAACTCTTACAATAGTAACACAGAAAACAAACCTAATTATTTCTAGTGTTTCTTTTTATATAAAGAGAAAAATAAAATATGTGTGATTTTCCAAAATCCATCTGAAAAGCCTCAAAGAAAATTTTAAGTAGATTTTTTCTTTACAACTTTAATGCTGGTTTTGGAAAGGCAAAATCAAAAGCATTATCGGAGATTTGGGTGCTTGATTAGGGTGCCTGACACAGGTGCCTGAGAAGCAACAGTTGGCATGTGTATTTAATTAAAGTGACAATAAAGCATTTTAAAGAAACAGAATATAACACATTTATAAAGAACTATATCTCTTACATGAGTTAGGAAACTCTGGTCTCTCTTTCTCTCACTCTCTCTCTGTAATAAAGAGCATTTCAAATTGAGCATAAGGCACAGAAAATTAATCTGACATAACACAGAATCACTGCTATCCAGGAAGATTGCATTGAATTAAAGAATAACCTTTTTTACTGTTGCTAAAGGCACTAATTAGAAACAAAGGCAGAAAGTTTGTACAAATTGAGTGAACGTTGCTAAAATTTTAACATATTTCATAGCTTTTTTTTGGAAGTAGATATTATAGACCAGGGCAATTAAAATTCACCTTCCAAATGTTATCCTTCACTATGCTTGATCATTTTCTGGAACCAATTGACACTTCACCCTAGGACAGTAGTTCTCTCAGGGGTCTATGAGGGCAAAACAATTTCCATAAAAATACTAAGATGATAATCATGTTGAAATGCAATACATTATTATTGCTATCTTCAAATGAATTGATAAACAAGTGTTAAAAGATATCAGTTTCAATTCCCAACACAGTAAATATAGATAGCCACACAGACAAAAGTTATTTAGGCAGTGCTCAAGAGTATAAAAAATCCAGAAATTAAGAAACCTGAGAATTGCTGAGAAGTTAGGAAAAAACCTACACTTTTTCACTTGATAAAAGCACACATAGAATTGTATTTCTCTGACACTGCTGTTGCTAGTATAGTTTCAAATCCTTATATTAATAATATCTTTTAACCCAAGTAACTAAATTCTATTTTACAGAAAAAGCAGCTGGCTGGATAAATGAGAACTGTCTGTCTCACACAGCATTACCATTATGAGAACATGTAATGAAACTTTCTAAGGCCACATAGGTCTCACCCACACATTCATGACGCAAAGCTATAGTCTCTCTTTATAACATAAAATTTATGTTAAAAGGCATACAAACATAAAATGATGCTTCATACATGCTTTGGTTTCCTATCTTACTTGGAAATTTGTTAGGTATATAAAAATATCCTTTAATTAATGTAATAAGAGAACAATAATTTAAATTATTTAAACATCTTAGAAAGTATCTTCAAGCTGACATACTACACAGCATAATTACTGTAGAAATAAATAGGTTGACAAAGTAATGATCCAACTTATTTGCATAGATTTAAATTTTTCTTAATTTTAAATATTATGCATGGGTAATTTCACCTTATTTAAACAGCAGACCTGTATAAATTTGAGAAAACAAACCTAAGTAGAATAAAGTGTATGCTTTTACTCTACTCAACACAAATTAATCATGGAAGAGACACAGCTACCTTTTTTAACACAAAAATTATTCAACTAGTCTTATTTGTCAATGTTTATTCTAATTATGTGAATTTAGTATCTTCAAAAAGTCTTCAGACTTTTTTTATAAGAAATTTCTTTAAGTTGAGAACATTTTTAAACTATTCATTTTTTAATTTCCTTTATTTCTGGGACTTTGGATCATTTAGTTTACGTATTTATTTATCTCTATAAGCCAATTGGAACATAGCTTATAATTTAAGATAAATATAGGTTATTTATACCCTCTAGAAAGAGTAAAACATTTCACACTAACACAATCAGAGGTAAAGGCCTTTCTGAATTACAGAAACATAGACACAAAGATACATAGAGTACTTATAGCTTCACATTTTTAACTTCACCCATAGGTCAAGAGTAAATACACAGATACGGATCAGACTGAGTTTGTTTCCTTCACGTGGGCACCATATTTTGAACTGAGAATTTTATAAAAACAATCAAAAAAAGAATAAAAACCTCATTCCCTGTCATCTTTTACCCAACAGAAAACAGATTCTATAATCCAACAGCAATGATCAACAAATAACCAGATCATTAAGCCGAATTTTCAAACATTGCTCTCACCAATGGAGAATAACTTGCACACAGTAAGAACAATAGAAACTTCAACAAAGCACAAAATTATTGGGAAAAATACAAGAAATACAAAATCAACATTTAACTAAAGTTCTATTGTCACTTGTGTTTCCCTCTGGGAGCAAGAAAATAGCAGCAGACCAGCAGTATGATTTGCATTTATTTAACTCATTCATTAAAGAAGGCACCAATGAGATACTATAAAACAGTTCAAAGGAGAACTGAAAGAGAGACATATATTAAATTATCAGGAATGTTGAAATGAATTTGATTAATAGATGGAAAATTAACTTATTTGGGAAAGAGAAGGAAATCAATAGTACCTCCAATGGAGGAAATTCATTTTGCATTGCCTATGAGAAAAATGATTTGCATCACTATCAGTTATCTACAATTTAGAGTGGTAACACAGATCAAGACAGTGAAGGATGAGCTAGACAAAACACCCAGTGATCTTTTTCTGTGCATTTCAAAGTCATTCACAATTATTCCTGACAGTATCATTGAGAATAATTTTCCTAATTGTTCCTAGTAAATGAACTGATCTCTAATTCTAAATGAATAACAAATGAATCTAATCAACAAAGTTCCCAATAGAACAAATTATAACCTACTGAAGAAGTTAATGAAATTTGTAAAATTGCATATAACCAGCTTATTGAAAAATTGGATGTTGCAGAATGTAATCAGGGAGAAACTTTATTCTTCTTCACAATTTCCCTTTTCAGTGCATTTAATAGATTGTTTTTCTTCCCTAACTTTGAAGGAAATCACAAGAAGATCTCAATGATTTCTGGTTCATTTCAGATAACATAAATTCTTGTCAGTCTAACATCAAATCTTTAACCACTCTTTAAGTCTAAGATTTCTCTTTCCCCTGCTGATAAGCAAGAAAAGGGAGGCACAGTCTTCCTTTCTTGATCTCCTGCCCCATGCTATGGATTTTCATGGAAGCTTTAAAGTTTGAGGCAAGAGAAAAGGAAGAAATAAGGGTCAGAAAGTTTTTCCTGCGTTGGAAGATCATAATGCAGCTTTGGGCTTAATATATGCCAAAAGCTAACTCTTTCTTTAGTGGCATTTTCTTGAGAGTCATGTAGTTTCCTGGAATTCCTAAAGTGGTTTATGGTGTTCCTTCTGTCATTTGGTTGTTTATGTCCTTACCACTCAAGCCCGTCTCCTACAGGCCATACTAAACTGCTGGCCTTTCCTATGGAGCTTCCCTGACCCCAGGCTAGCAGTCCTCTCGGAAAGGGTCTTTTAGAGATGGCTCACCGTTGGCTCCCTTTAACACATGAAAATCAATGTCATTGCCTGGCAGCCAGTAGAAGTGTGTCTCAGAGCAGTCCATTTGACTCTGCTTTTCCAAGGAAACTAGCTCTGGCGTTTTGCGCTTAAACTTTTCAGACTTGAATACAGTCTTGGTTCACTTAAAAGCCCCACTCGGCCAGGCATGGTGGCTCACATCTGTAATCACAGCACTTTGGCAGGCCAAGGCAGGTGGATCATGAGGTCAGGAGATCAAGACCATCCTGGCCAACATGGTGAAACCCCATCTCTACTAAAGTACAAAAATTAGCCAGGCATGGTGGCACACGCCTGTAGTCCCAGCTACCTGGGAGGCTGAGGCAGGGGAATCGCTTGAACCAGGAAGATGGAGGTTACAGTGAGCTGAGGTCGCACCACTGCACTCCAGCCTGACCACAGAGCAAGATCCATCAAAAAAAAAAAAAATTCCACTCTCATTTGTCTTGAGATAGGGAGGAGGCACTGCCTCACTGCAGGGGTTAGAAGATGCTCACAATATACTAGAAACTTCTCTCTAAGTCCTTAGGAAGAAAAAATGTCATAGTGAAAAATATTGCATGTTTTCAAAACTCTACAGAATATGAGCCAGGAAGTTTTCTAAAAATTATTTTCTAACTTCTCTCTAGTTCTTTAGGAAGACCTCTGTTACAGTGTCTTCAACTTCATATTGCATATTTTTTCCTGCTCCTATATAGCCTACAGGTACTGTATGAGCTAATACTAGCAGATTTTTTTAAAGCTTTAGGATTTGCATAGATACCCTAGAAACTTCTTGGAGAATTTCTTCCTATATAATTTGGCTTACACTTACATAGTAAGTGTAAGTTTTTTGAGCAGATATAGAATCTATGTGCTTTATAGGAAGAGCTACTGTCTATAAGGAGGAAAAAAAGGTGTATATCTTTATGATAAATTATATGCATGTAATGATAATAGTTATAGTAACAGAAATAATTTAGAATGCTGATTCTGTATAAAAAAATTATTTCCTCTCTTTTCTCACTCATATGATTGTCTATGAAACAATTACTACTATTGTTGTTATTTATAGTTGGAGAAACAGATGCTTAGAGAGTTTAGAAGATATGTCCAAGATCACCTAGCTAGTAAGTGCTTGGATCTGTTTTTTTATTATTATTATCATTATTTTAAACTGCAAAGCACAGACTCAGGTTCTTGAAGTATAGTGGTGAGAAAGGCTATGGGGAAAAGATGGAAGGTTGTTTTCTCCTCATAACCCAGTCTAGCTGATAATGATATTTGACATGTGGGAAGAATAATTAGGGATTATGAAGTTTTCGTTTCTCTCATAATTATATTAGAAAGCTAAGAGTCACTTGGTGGATCATAATTACTATAATTCAGATAATCTGCAACTTTATGAAAATGTGTGCCTTCATTTCATGACAATTACTCTTCCCCAATGTCCTTCTAGCTTCAACAAAGTTATTGAGTTTCCATAAATAGAAACAATATTTGCATTTGTAAATATATTATGCATGTGTATATATGATAATGCATCTTAACCTACCTTTTTATCATGTATAGAAATATAAAAGAATGACAATCATCTAGCAAATTTCTACAAACGTTTTACTAGTTTAATAAAAACAAGCCCATGAAATACATACATTCCAACATTTCACCTATTAAATTGTGTAGAACTGCAGTAGTGTCTAAAGGCCATTCCACAAGCAACAACAATTACCATATATAAATATTAATATGCATGGGATTGATAAACAGAGCCAGATTTGCATTCCATACATAAAACTGTCAACTCACATTTCCATGATAAATGATGAAAAGAATCAAGGTGTACTCAGGCATATGAGCATTGCATTTATTTTCTGGGCTAGCAAAGGCATTATCTTTGTGTGTCTGATTCATTTGTTGTGCTAATTTTCAAGATACTCAATATTTTACCACAAAGTTAACATGATAGGTATATCTTAAAAGTGTCAGTGAAAAATATTGCAGTTTTCACAACTCTACAGAATATGATCCAGGAAGTTTTAATTTTTAAAAATTATTTTCTAATACATTGCTAGTTTTGGTAAAACCCTTACCAAATAATCAGCAATTAAAGAAAAATATGTACTCTCAGCCTCCAAGTACTAAATTGACTACCTTAGAATAGAACATAAGCCTTTTTTAGTATCTAGTAATATCGGTTATATGAAATAGAAAGAAAATATACTAATGCTTTCATGTGTTATACAGATAGCTCCTGCAAAATAAATGACTATGTTTAAATAATACTTAGCATAAACATGTATGCCTACTCAACATATGCATAGGATCTTAACACTTCTGAAACTGAACTTCTCATATTCTCCTTCAAACCTATCCACTGCAAAGTTCCCTGAGATATATCCAGTTCCCACTACTTCCACAGCTACTCTTTCATCTCAGATGATATTATTCTTTCTTCTATAATGGATATCTAGACTCCCTGCTTCTATCACTGGCACTGCTAATGCCCTATTCTCAACTATTCTCAATACAATTACATTGAGATCCCTTTAAGACAAGCCAAATCATGTCACTCTTCTGCTAAAAATCCTGCAATGTCTTCTTATTTTACCCAGAGGAAAAGGTAAAATTCTTTAAAGGGCTTATAAAAGCCTCTTATGATCTAGCCCCTCATTATCATTCAAAGTCATCATCTACCGCACTGCAATCTTCCAAACAAGACTGCCTCCAGTTACACTGGGCTCCACTCCATTGTTCTGATTTACTTACCTTAATCCTGCTTTGGGATTAGGGCATTCATTGCACTCGATGTCTCCTCTGCCTGGAACAAGCTTCTTAATTTCCCCAACCCCAAAAATCCATAAAGCTAACCCTAATAATCGAGTCTTTACTTTCTCAACATATCCTATCCAGGTCATTGTATTTTACTCTGCAACCCCAACCCCTGTCACTGCCATATCTCTCACACTGTTTTACTTTTACTTATTTGTCTATATCAATTAGAATATAAACTCCATAAAGCAAAATATCTTGTTCATTTTGTTCAAAGATGTAATTAAATAAACTAAAACAGGTCCCTAGTAAGCATTCAACAAATATTTCTAAGGGAATAAATTGTCTGGATTTATTACTAGTGATAAAGCATACATGCACAATTTTAATTCTAGAAACAATAAGATGAGCAGTACAAGAAACACAAAATGCTATTGGTTGCAGAGGGAAAGTAATGTCTTGATTAAGATGCAAAGTAAAAATGAATACTTTACAGAAGATTGTATTTCAGATAAGACTTTAAGGATTGGTAAAATTTTGACAAGTGGATAATAAAGGTGTGGGTGCTACGAGAAGCAGTCGAAAGAGGGGTTAAGAACGAAACTGACTACTGCTTGCTTTTTATGTTTCATCATTCTACTCCACACTGGGATAACACAGATGAACAACCTGATCACTAATTTCATATTGCTTGCTGCTAGTGAAATGTGTGTGTGTGGGGGGGTCTATCGTAATTCTAACAATCAATAGCAAAATAATGTACTAAAATAAAGAACATATAGAAGACTCCTCTGAGAAGACTTCTCAGAGAAAGTTGAAAAAGCATAAAAACTTTAAAAAATCAATTTCATTCAATAGTCCATAGACTTAGATTATATAAAACATTTGATGATGCTGTCAACATGAAAGCTCAGTTGCAGCTGATTTTATAAAACGTATTTACTTCACAGTTTAGTTTGGATATACTGTTGGCAAGGTTCTGGATCCCTAACCTACTTTGTCTAGCCACAGGAGTGGCATCCAGAAAGATGAATAAAAGGGAAGGTTCAGACAAATCCGTGACATTCCTGGACAGAAAAGTTCTCCCACTTCATTCCTATTTGTCCTATTCCAATAAAAGTGGTTGGGCAATTTAGAAAAAGATAAAAAGCGCTTTTTCATTACTTTTATTATTTCATTACTTTTATCGTTACTCACAACTAAACTTCAGGCCAATTCTAAACTTTTCTTCTTCTACCATCAGCCCCACTTAGTTTCTTCAACCATTTCAAAACACAAAATCGCCTACAAACAAACATTTTCAACAGGTGAGAGGGGAAAAAATGGAGAACAGAGATTAACATATAATGCCTCAAGAATCCACTAACAACAACACAACTGTATCACACACCTCACACTCTACAACAACAAAATAATAGTCTCCCCAAACCTACATAGGAAAAGGAATGTTCATACACTCTACTCTTTCGTCTGCAGTAGTTTTGAGTTTCATTTTTATTCCCTTGTCCTTTCTACCAAAGCTAGATCTTTCTCTTTGTGTTTGCATTTCCCAGAAGTACTAAGGGAAAAGAAAACAGGGCAACTGCTTCCCCTTCATTTTTGTTGTTGTAGTTAACTCATTTTCACCCAATCTTGTGTTCAATACATTCTAAAAGAATAAATATAATCTCTGCAATGGAAAGCAGATGCTTTTCTTCAAAATATCTTCTCATAATGGCGCAAATTCTCTTAAACAGCAGCGGCTACACTTTATCTCAACAACTTTTATTAACATGAATATTATATAATTATAGCTGTCTTTTAATGTTGATGTCTTTGTAAATACCATATATTAATTATTACAGTGGCTGCAATGTTACAATATAAATCAATGAGTCAGTGCATAATCAACAAGGTAAACATCAGTAAAATGTTTTACTGGAAGCATTTGCTCTTAACCTCTCTCCCTTTCTGTATCAGCTGATCAACACCATTATCTTTTTTTTTTTTTTTTTTTTGAGATGGAGTCTCGCTCTGTCACTCAGGCTGGAGTTCAGTGGCACAATCGCCACTCACTGCAACCTCCATCCCCCAGGTTCAAGCGATTCTCCTGCCTCAGCCTCTGGAGTAGCTGGGATTATAGGCTTATGCCACCACGCCTGGCTAATTTTTGTATTTTTAGTAGAGATGGGGTTTCACCACCATGTTGTCCAGGCTGGTCTCGAACTCCTGACCTCAGGTAATTCACCTGCCTTGGCCTCCCAAAGTGCTGGGATTACAGGCAGACACCATTATCTTTTGATAGCGGTCTGTTTCATCATCCTTGGGCCATGTTTTTACAGAACTAAAAACAAAATATGCACAGATACTGTGCAAATATTTTTAAAACATGTGAACTTAGATTAAAATAATCTTGGAGAAAGGAGGAAAATAAAATTCATCTTGTTTCACCATTATTATTTTTTACTGGAGAAACCGATGACTGGAACTATTAAATTACTTCCAAAAGAACCAGGATTGGAACTCGGGTTTCCTACACTAGTTTCTGTGTTCTCTTTTCATTTTAACACATGGCCTATTACCTCTTTATATTTTATGGAGAATAAAATCATCACAATAGAATGCTCCATAAAATTATACATATGCCTTAAAATTTTTACATATCAATATAATCTTTTTGTTGTTAAATCCGCAGTCCATCCTTTTAGCTATTTCAGTTGCTGGGGGTGCTATATAAGATTTTAATTGTGCAATATTGAACATTTCACATAAAAGAATGATGTATCTCTTGAGCTTTCAGGGAGACAAGAAAATTTAGTCTACGGAAGAACAAAAGCAAACAAAAAGCAAATAGGAAACTTCTCTCATGAGAAGTAAACAATAGTACCCCATTATAGGGGGTGTGATGGTTGATATTGAGTATCAACTTGATCCAATTGAAGGCTGCAAAGTATTGTTTCTGGATGTGTTTGTGAGGGTGCTGCCAAAAGAGATTAACATTTGAGTTTGTGGACTGGGAGAGGCAGACCTACCCTCAATCTGGGTGGGCACCATCTAACAGCTGCCAGAGTAGTTAGGAGAAAAGCAGGCAGAAGAACCTGGAAGGACGAGGCTGGCTGAGTCTTCCGGCCTCTGTCTTTCTCCCATGCTGGATGCTTCCTGCTCTGGAACATCAGACTCCAAGTTCTTCTGTTTTTGGACTCTTGGACTTACAGCAGTGATTTGCCAGGGGCTCTCAGGCTTCAGCCACGGACTGAAGGCTGCATTATCAGCTTCCCTTCTTTTGTGGTTTTGGGACTTGGACTGGCTTCCTGGCTCCTCAGCTTGCAGGTGACCTGTTGTGGGACTTCACTTAGTGATTGTGTGAGTCAATTCTCCTAATAAACCCCCCTTCATACATACATCTATCCTATTAGTTCTGTCCTTTTAGAGAACCCTGACTAATACAGGGAGAAATGGAAATATATTTGTTCCAAGACTCCCAGTAGATGCCTAATACTGTGCTAGTGCCAAAGCTTATACATACACTATATGTTTTCCTATATATTGATATTTATGATAAAGTTTAATTTCTACATTAGGAACAGTAAAAGATTAACAACAATGACTAAAAATACAGTAGAACATTTATAACAATATGCCAGCATCACTACTCTTGCACTTTGGCACCATTATTAAGTAAAGAGTTAATTGCACAAAAACACTGTGATACCGCAACAGTTAATATCATACCCCAGAGGGATACTAAGTGGGTAGTGTGTGCAGCTTGGATACACTGGACAAAGTGATGATTCATGTTATGGGTGGAACCAAGTGAGATGGTGTGAGATTTTATCATATTACTCATAATGGCACACTATTTAAAGCTTATGAATTATTTCTGGAATTTTCCATGTAATATTTTTGGACCCTGGTTGACTGTGGGTAACTGAAATCACGGAAAGTGAATCAATGGATAAGGGAGGACTACTATAATATTTTAGACTACAATCTTAAGTATTATAAGCCTACAATTTCACATGCCGCTGCTTTCACATTGTTGAACCTTGTGGGGCACAAAAGGCCTAAAGGTGAGTCTCCTTGCTCTCAACAGACATACTCTGACCCAGCTAGTTGGATCAGGTGAGGCAGCTGCTCGCCATCTGGTCCTCAACCTAACAGGTTTTTTATGCCTGCCACCTCAAACAAGTTATTAGAACAAGTTCGTATCTTTCTCAGGTACTTCACCCTCTCATTACTACCAAGCCTGCCTCCCACAGCCCTTGCTTGTTCAGCTTTGTCCCCTGTGCACCCTCTGCATGGCCTTGTGTCATGCCTGATACTACTCTGGAGCTATGGGTATGTTTTAACAATAAACTTGTTTGATTTCATTTGTGCAATATTGGTCATCATATATTTGTTTTTTTTTTCATATTAGGTAAAGGAGACGATATCTTCCTCACCAGCAGGATAAATAATAGGTGATCAAAAGACCCCAGAGCATGGTGCAAAAAAAAAATATGAAACAAACTAATTTTCCTCGATCTACATTTTGGAAAACCACTGTTATATTTTTCAGCTCCCAGTGGGAGTTTTTAATGCCTTTTTCAGCAACAAAACAAAACAAAACAAAACATTGCATTACATACCATAGGAGAGTAATGGAAAAGAGAAACAAAAATCCAGGATTAATTCTAAAGTCTTATATTCCTAAACACTATGAATATAGATAATAGGTCTTGATTTAAAGCTTTCCATATTAATTTAATCCCTTGTAAACTCTGCTGTTTCATAGAAATTATACTTTAAGATGAAGATTAAAAACAGAAAAAGAATATTTTGTGTCTGTTCATTCATGTTATTCCTTGATTCATTGTAGCATAATGAACAAAATTTTAGTTTAAGATTAAAAACTTGCAATTATGGTGACAGTTAAATATATATTATAGAAACATGAAAAAACTACAACTCTTTATGACATTCAGAGATCATGAAAACATGCTATTAAGAGATTTTCAATATAATACTAGAGTAACTTGGAAAAATATAAACTAATAATTTAAAAACTTTGTGAAAGTCAACAGATAATATTTTATAATATAAAGTTAACATTCATTTTTTAAAACTTCAACTCTAGAGCCTAGAAGATTTGATGAAAGAGAAACTTTTTTATTCACTTTATTGATAATGTTCAATTGTAACATTTCTGCTGCATTTAAGATAGCACAATCTCACCTTACAAGCAAATTACTCATGTCTATTTCCTATCTCGATAAGCACACCTAAGAGCATACGATTTTGTTTCCATTCACAGATGTACCATAGATACTTATGAGGAACATTTCCACATGTTGCACACCTCCTTTAATTTTGTTTGTTAGTTGGTCCTTGTAGATCAACTTTATGGGTTTTATCTTGACCTATCACATTTATTTGTAACATATGATAATCTGAGCAAGAAGGCAAATGCACTTCCATTTTGACTCTCAACCTGGATATACATATTTCCCTGACAATGTGCAGCCTCCATTGTGAAGACTGAACTTGAGGATGTGTCTTAGAAAGACTCACCGGAACATTAGCCAGATGTTAACAATGTATATTACTGCAGGTCTAATTTGTTCTGAAAATCTCTTTGTGAACTTGACAAAGCCATATGCCTCAGTATGTTCTTTCATCAGTTAAAAAAAAGGGGTTTGGGACTATTTCAGCAACAAAAATGCTATGAATATAATATTTTGACTAACTGCCTTTTAAATTTTTATATATTTTCCATTTGCATTCATTTAGGATATGTAATATATTCATATAGTTCAAAATGCAAGAGGCATACAATTTTAAAGAACATGTTGAAGGCCTACCCATCACTGTCAGCCTAATTTAGCCCACCTCAATGCTTTTGAGGTAACCACTGTCATTACTTTTGGATGCATCACTCCAAGGTGGCTTTATGCAATTATAATTGTATACAATTACTTTCCTCTTTCTTCCAAAAAATAAAACTTACTCTATACAGTATTCTAAAGATTGGCTTTTTCATCATATGTATCTTGAGCTCTTTAATATTATAATATAGAAAGTTATCTTATTATCTTTTTCTGCTTTATGATAATGGTATTATAGTTTATTTTAGTAGTCCTTTATTAATAAATACTTGGGTTGTTCCCACTTTCTTGGTGTTACAGACTATATTTCAATGTATTACTTTATGCAATACTTTATCCAATCTATGCAGAAACATATGTAAGATAAATTCCCAGTGAGATGTGTTGTTCATAGGCTAGAAGCATTTATTTAGAGATATTGCTAAAACTTGTTTCATTAGAAGTACACCATTTTTTCTCCCACCATCTATGTATGAAAGAACCTGTTTCTCCTTAGTTTGGGAAAGAATATTTTCTCATCATTTTGCATGTTTGTTAATCATAAATATAAAAAATAAATCTTGCTTTATTTCTAATTTGCATGTCTCACGAGTAAGTTTGAAGACTCACAAAAATTATTTTTTGAAAACATTTGAATTTATTTTTCTGTGATTTCTCTCTTCAATATCTCATATTTTATGTATCTGTGAAGTATTTGCATGTCTTAGTCCATTTATGCTTCTATAACAAAACACCTGAGACTGGATAATTTACATAAAACAGAAATTTATTTTCTCACATTTCTGGAGGCTGGGAAGTCTAAGATTAAGGTGCCAACATATCCAGTGTCTGGAAAGGACTGCTCTCTCCTTCCAAAATGATGAGTTGCATGCTGTGTTTGTGAGAGGGGAGGAATGGTATGTCCCTCCATGACAGAAGATAGAGAGCAAAAAGGGGTGAACCTCCTCTGTCAAGCCCTTTTATAATGGCATTAATTCATTCACAACGGAAGGGCCCTCATGACATAAACACTTCCAGAAAGGCCCCACCTTTCAACATTAGTACATCGGGGATTTAGTTTCCAACATATAAAATTTGGGGGACATATTTAGGCCATAGCATTCTACTTCTGGCCCCCAAACTTTACATCCTTCTCACAAACAAAATACATACATTCCATCCCAATGGTACCAAAAAGTCTTAACTCATTCCAGCACCAACTGTAAAGTCTAAGACGTAAGTCTTACCTAAACAACATATGGGTGAAACTTTAGGTACAATTCATCCTGAAACAAATTCTCCCACTGTAATCTTGTGAAATCAAACAAGTTATGTCCACAATATAATTGTGGGACAGATATAGGTCAGATATTGCCATTCCAAAAAGGGGAAATAAAAAAGAATAAAGGGACAACAGGTCCCAAGTAAGTTGAGAACCCAACAGGGCAACATTAAATCTCAAGGCTTGAGAATAATCTTTTACTCCATGTCCTACTGTCCACAGGCACTGAAGTAAGGGGTGAGTCCTCAACGCTCCTGATGGCCTTACTCCTACAGCTTTGATGGGCATTGATCATGCTTCTCTTACAGGTTGCAATTAGGAGATCGTGGCCCTCCCAAGCTGGTGTTACATGCTGTGGCTCTACAGTAAGGGCTCTTGAGGCAGCCCATCCCCCATGGTTACTATACAGCCTTGCCTAACCAGAGACTGTGGTGGTTCTGCCCCTGCAGCAGTTCTCTCCCTGGGAGGCTTCTGGAGACATCCTTTGAAATCTAGGGGAGAAGGCCAGCCCTCCAGAACTTCTGTATCCTGTGCCTACAGAATTAGCACCATGTGGTTGCTGCCAAAGCTCACTGGTTGTGCCCTCTGGCATACTCCAGCATTAACTTCAAAACTGTTCCAGCCTCTGCAAACAGTCTCATTTATAATAGCATCAAAAAAAAAACTACTCAGGAATAAATTTAACCAAGGAAGTGAAAGATATCTATACAACTATAAAACATTGATGAAAGAAATTAAAGATAATATAAATTAATGAAAAAATATTCCATGTTAACGGATTGGAAGAACTAACATTATTAAAATGTCCACATCACACAGAGTGGTCTATAGATTTAATACAATCCCTATCAAAATTCCAGTATCATTTTTCATAAAAATAGAAAAAAAAATCCAATAATTTTTATGAAACCACAAAACATCCTGAATAGCCATAAAAATCTTGAGCAAAGATTGAAAAAGAACAAAGCTGGAGACAACACACAAACAGATTTCAAAGTATATTACAAAGGTATGGTAATCAAAACAGCATGGTACTGGCATTAAAAACAGACACATCAACCCATGGAATAGGATAAAGACCCTAGCAATAAACCACACATCTATGGTCAATTGAATTTTGAGAATGGTGCATGAACACTCAATTCAGAAAGAACAGTCTCTTCAATAAACTGTGATGGGAAAACTGGATATCCACATGCAGAAGAATAAAAGTAGAGCTTTATCTTACACTATGTACAAAAATCAACTAGAAATTAATCAAATTCTTAAATATAAAACCTGAAACTGTAAAACTAATAGAAGAAAACATAGAGGAAAATCTCCATGAGATTGTGCCTTATTGGATAAGACACCAAAAGCACAAGCAACAAAATCAAACGTAGACAAATGGGATTGCATTGAACTAAAAAAACTTCTGCATAGCAAAAAAAATTAATAAAGTGAAGAGACAACTCATAGATTGAAAAAATATTTGGAAATCATACATCAGGTAAGAGGCAAATATCTAAAATATACAAGGAACTCAAACTACTACAAAATAACCTTATTTTTAAAATGAGCAAAGGACTGAATAGATATTCCTCAAAAAAGACATACAAATTGCCAACAGATGTATTTTTAAATCATCAACATCTCTAATCACCAGAGAGATGTAAAACCACAATGACATATTACCTCATACCTGTTAGCAGAGCTATTATTAAAAAGACAAAAGATAATAAGTGTTGATGAGATATGGAGAACAGAAAACCCTGCACACTCCTGGGAATATTGTAAATTAGTACAGCCAATTTGGAAAACAGTACAGAGGTTAAAAAGCTAAAAATAGAATTAACATACGATCCAGCAATCCTACTTCTAGGTATATACCCAAAGAAATTGAAATCAGTATCTTGAAAGGATATCTACACTTTCATGTTCATTGCAACACTATACACAGGAGCCAAGATATAAAAATAAACAAATTGTCCATCAAGGAATGAATGGATTTTTTAAATGTGTTATATATCCACAATGAAATATTATTCAGCCTTAAAAACAGAAAATTCTGTTGTTTGCAGCAATATAAATGAACCCAGAGAACATTATACTAAGTAGAATAAGCCAGGTACAGAGAAACAAATACCATATGATAACACTTATATGTGAAGTCTAAAAATGTCAAATTCATGGAAGTAGAGAGTAAATGGTGATTACTAGAGGTGGGGAATGTGAACGGGGAAAGGGGAGATGTTGGTCAAATGGTATAAAGATTTAGTTGGACAGGAGGAATAAGTTTTGGGGATCTACTGCACAATATGTTGAATATAGTTAATGATCATGTATTCTATTTTTAAAAACAGCTAAAAAGGAAGATTTTAAATAGTCTTACTACAAAAAATGATATATATTTGAAGTGATGGATATGCTAATTAGCCTGATTTGATCATTATATATGTATGTACTGAAACACTGTATTGTACCCCATAAATATATACAATTATTATTTACTAGTTAAAAAATATTCTAACCTTTACCCAGTACTAAGGTTCAAAGCTGGTTCCACAGTTTTAGGGATTTTTATAGCCACATTCCACTCTTCTAGTATCAATTTCTGCCTTAGTCAATTTGTGCTGCCATAACAAAATACCTGAGACTGGGTAACTTCTAAAGAACAGAAATTTATTTTCTCAAAGTTCTAGAGGCTGGAACACCCAATATCTAGGTTCCATCAAGTCTGGTGTCTTATAAGAGCTGCTCTTGGCTTTCAAGATGGTGCCCTTTAAGCTGTGCACTTCAGAGAAGAAAATGCTGTGTTCTCACATAGCAGAAGGTGAAAGGCTAAAAGAAGCAAACTCTCTGTTAAGCCCTTTTATAAAGGCATTAATTCATTCATGATGACAGAGCTCTCATGACGTAAACACCCCCAAAAAGGCCCCACCTTCTAAAACTGTTGCATTGGGGATTAAGTTTCCAAGACACGAATTTTAGCATTAGACATAGCATTATATAATTAGGAAGATTAGCACTTCTAATTTAGGTAGATGAGTTGAAAATACATTTTTCCTAATTTGTCAATTGTTTCCTGACTTTGGTCACAGTGGGCTTTTTTTTTCTATATTTTTTACCCAGAAGTTGACATTTGTATAAGAAAAATTAAACATCTGTTGACATTTTGACTTTTGTATAAGAAAATTTAGCAATATTTTTCTTTATGGATTCCAAATATCAAATCATAATTGGAAAAACCGTCTCCAAGTTTATAAATGAATTTACACATATTCTCTATGTGTAAGGAAATTAAACATATTTCTACTACATTCATTATTTCACTTGTTTGCACTGAACTAGCTCTTCTAGAAAATTTATGTTTTTAATATTGAAATCTTGATATATATCCTGATATGAGTATATGTAAGGAGACATTCAAACTTCACATTTATCTGAATGATTCAGATTTCCCATTAGTAATTTTTAACAGTGCACCTTTATTATAATTTGAGGGACCATATTTATTATATATTACATTCTTGTGTCTATTTGGGTTTATATGTGAACTTTTTGCTCAACTTTTCTATGTCCTATCTATGAATCAATACAATGCTATATTAATTTTGAAGCTTGAAGATATATTTTAATAATTGATAAAGCTGTTTCAATTTGCCCTCTGGACTCTGCCACTGCGTTTTTTTCTGTTTGTTTGTTTGTTTTATTTTGTTGTCTGTTTGGGTTTTTTTTACTCTAGGTTCCTCTTGCTGCTTATGGAGAACAATCCTGATGTCAGAGTTCCTAACAGTTTGTGATTTTGATAACTATGCTGAATACGTTTCTCTCTAACATAATATTTTTTTCTTATATTCATTTTTTCAATATAATCTTGCCTCATATACACTTTTTACTAAGGACATTTTTAAAAAGTAGTGGGAACAGGGACAATTGTTGGAGACAGACATTTTACTCCTTGCCAGATGCTTTCCCTTCCTAAGAAAGCTTAGTAAGATCCATGATTAGTAAAACACCTCAAGGGAATAAGAAAAGAAAATAGTTATTTTCCCAAAGATCTTAGGATTAGAGAAGCTGGGCATATTTCCAGCTTTCTCCACTTATCTCTTTTGGCTCCATTGCAGCAAAATATCTTCCCTTAAACACAATCATGCCTGAAGGAGAAAAGTTAGTTAACCCTTTGATCTTCATATCTTTGAACCAATTTAGCGTACTATGGAATCATGGATAACTCTGGTAATAGTCAAACTGCTTTGACATGTTAGCCAAACATTCACCCACAGAATCTCTCTCACCGGCCAGGCATCATTCATATTATTCAGAGATATTTTGGGAAAAAGTCTTACTATATAACATGCTAGCACTGAAAATTCTACGTGTCACCTAAGTACTTCTGTCTCTATACTCACAAGGAATATTGTCCAAGTATGAAATCCATTCTAAAACTCTGTACTCTGAAAACAATTTTTAAAAACATATATATATATACACACACATATATATACACATATATGTACATATATACACATATATATGTACACACACACACACACGTGTGTGTTTCACAAGTCTTCAGTCTGCATGTTTGGGTCAAAGAAATCCCCAGCCTTTGTAAATTTTAGGTATCACAAACTTCCATTTCAGAGAGAATGGAGTTGAATGAGTCTTCTGACCCATTAACATTTCTAACACTAACACCTCATGTACTTATGTCAAAAAACACTTTTTGCTCCTGTTTTGCTTACCCACTACATTCCTTATTGAGTGCTTATTGCTTTCAGCCTCTGTTGGAAACTCAGGCATGTCTACTTCTTTAGTTAAAACTAATGGAATTCCAGAATCTAATGGAGAAATGTCCACTTCACCATTTTGAACTATATTTTTTTAAATGCAGTCTGCTAAGCTACCCCAAAAGAAATAATAGTCATATTCCATTGAAAATCCATATAAGGTCTTTGCTTAAATGGTCTGAGTAAAGTCCTAGCATTCTAGTATCATTTCCTTTTCCAAGTTTTGTTGTTGTGTTGTTGTTCTTAATTCCCCCAAATCAACCTAATATTTAGGTTTTGAGTCTTTGTGCTAGTCCATATTCTGACCCCAACCTTTGAGGTAGATGGAAAGATTGATGGAAAGATGTCAACTGAGAAATATAAGTGATATAATTCTCTTACATGGAAACTACCAAAACAACCATAAGAATTGGGAACAATACAACATCTTCCCACATGAAGTTTCAGGCTTTCCAAGTCCCTGGTTCCCTGTGAGGACCGATTATTTCTGCAGAAAATTCTTCTGGCCATAAGAAATGTGCCTTGCTATTCTGAAAATAAATTTGTTCCTGTGACCTCTTCAAAAAACCTTGGCTACTAACGTGGTATAAATAGCTAATAAAAATAATCTCAGTGCATTTTTAAATTTTTCTTTGACACTGAATGAATTTGCATTATTAGTCTCCTAGGCACTCCAAGGGTCTACATTTGTTTAAGGAAGTAATTTGCCTAAAAATTTACAGGTAAGACCAAATCCAGATTTATAAGTCAGTTTCTATCTTTACACATGCTGCCATTCTGCCTGTATGTTGTTCTTGACTCCTACAGAACTGCATTTACCTCATTAAGCTTTGAAGTTTCACCTCAAATTATATTGACAGAGGTACAGAAGTAGGTACAGAGCTTACTGTTCATCTATTAAAAGGTCATGAAAGAAATTACTTTAATAGATCAGTATTTAGAATTCTTGTTTCTCCTTCAGACACAACAGTTTCTCATGGACAGAGTAGATTGTGCAAGTAGCCACATTTTCTTATTTTGTTTTGGCTTCAGGAGATTCCGAGTGAAATTCAAGATCACACTTCATAATGGATATAGAATTCTGGCTTCATTCTGATGACATTTTCTTTGGAGTTGCCAATTTAAAATTTTTATTTTACAGTATTTTATAAGAACAACAATCAATAACTAACATATAATTGATAATGTAATTAATAATATCCAATATTATTATGTTTTACATGAATTACCTTATTTCACTCTCATTTTTTAAATGAAGTGTTAACCATTCTTTTCCTAGTCAGTGGAACTAAAGATACTCAATCTTCTTTAAGGCTGTGACTTGGAAGCTCTATATAACTTCTGCTAGCATCCAATTGGAATCAATCTAGCTCTGCAAAGACAAGCTAGGGATATAGATTACAGATAAGTAGCTTTCTATGTGTATGGCTAAAACTAAGGAGGAGAAATCAAACTTCAAGGGATAGCAGACTCTATCAGCACTTCTTAGGACAAAATTGAGAGGAAGGAACAAAGCACCTAAATTGCTATTTGTTTAAACATGAGGCAATTAGGCCTAAATTATCTAATTAGACAATTTAGATTGCTCATATGCACCGATAAGTTATCTATTTTTCTCAAGTTGTTCCATATATAAAGATTGAATTATGCTTTATTTATCAATCTTTATGTAAGAATATGCTATGGCATAAAGGACTGAAAATTGCTTAGACATAATACGATTTATTTGGAGAACATTCTACACTTAATTTAAAATAACCTCATAGCCAACCATGCCCTTTGACAGTGATTTTAGCTTCCTTTCCCATCAAAATGTACATAGGTGCTGTTTACTGATTGATACTGAATATTATTTATTACTTCCTCTTTTACTGGGGAGATGTTAAACACTGAATTTTAGTGGATTGGCTATCCTAGCCCATAGCACATAATTTAACTTTTATTCATCTAGTAATAAATTTGGTGAATCATTTGTGTCATGAAACTGTTTTCAATAAATACATTGAAATTAATCTGTACTAACCTCAGTATTTGAGTAATTCTGAAATAACTTACAACTATAGATCACTAACTATTAAAATTTAAAATCTCTCTGTATTGATAAGATTTTCTTTGTAATATTATCCCAATCAACCAAATATTTATTAGGTACTAGGGTATTTTCTTTTTTATGTGTCTAAGATTATTTTAATTTCTAAATAAATATAAAAACAGCAAGAACCATGGCCTCCTCCCACAAGATACCTAAACACTGAAGCTTACTGGGAAGATATACCAACTTACAAAGGTGATTTGATGCATTTGTCCATGTTGAGGCTGGGGATAAGGCAATTTATAAAGGAAAAAATTGTTTATCATTTATCACGTCCCTGTAACTGGAAGTCTGAAGTCTTATAATTGATCTAAATCAATTTTCTATTTGTAAATAAATAAACAGAACTTTAAGAAGATTAAATTACATCATTTCAAACATGTATTAATTAATTAAGAATACATCTATATGATAATTTAACAATATGTATTGAGCACCTGTATGTCAAAACCTGGAGTAGGCATTGGAGATAGTGTAGTAAGTAAAGTAGGTAAAGTCTCTGTTTTCATGGAGTGTAGTCTAGTGAGAAGGGTGAAACTAATCAATTAAATACACATGGATATAATTAAAAGTATTATTAGTACTACAGAGAAAATGAACAGTGAGTTACTACAATATGTAAGTAGGTGATCTCATCAAGGCTGTAGGATCAAGCAAAGCTACTATGAGAAAGTAGGCTATTATCTGATATATGAAGGATGAACAGATACTAGCTACTTATTATTAATTCTATGGTGCACTTTTTTGTCATGTTTTAACATTTTAAATTCAATAAACAACAATCAGTGAAGCATCCTTAATTGGTAACAAACCTGTCTGCCTGCTTTCTTTCCTTCTTTCCCTCCTTTCTTCCTCCTTTCCAAGCAGTACATAAAACATTATTGTTAAACTACAGTAAAATATTATTACACATCTAATAAAACAGATTAAAATAATAATAATAATAACAGCAAATGCTGGCAAGGATACAGAGAAACTTGATGAATAATAGGTTGCTGGTGGGACTGGAAGGTAAAATGATACATCCACTCTGGAAAACATCTTTCCAGTTTCTTATAAAGCTAAACATGTCTCAACCATATGACCCAGCCACTGCACTTTCAGAGATCATAAATGCTCACAGTTCAAATGTTATTTGTAATATTCTAAAAATAGAGACATTTCAGATGTCCTTCAATAGGTGAATTGTTAAACTCTGCTACAACTATACTACGAAATACTACTCAGCAATAAAATGGAACAAACTATTGAAACACACAGGAATTTGAATGAATCTCAAGGGATTTACACTGAGTAAAAAAAAAAAAAAATAGCCAGCCTCATAAGGTAACTTACTGAGCACATGTAGCCACCAGATTTTAGTTTCTAACACTATTCTTCAAGAAGAGGAATCTCCTTAGATAAATGGCTATTTCTAGGACTGAGGAAGTAAATATATAAGATGAGCCTGGAGCATCTTGTTTGGACAGAAAATGAGGATGCCTCAACAACAAAAACAATCCCACATTCACTTGAAAGTGACAGAAGAGCTAACTAAAGAGCCACCAGGGGCCAAAGCTGGAAGAATTGGAGCAATAAAATAAAATAGTATTGAATTATAACAAAAAATATAAAATAAGCATTCATAAATTTATACCGATATAAAGTGATAAAATTAATGAATAAATGGAGGAGAAGAGGGAAACCACTTGGTCAGAAGAATTCCAAATAATTATGTAGGCACTCCACCTTCAAGGAGGTAAAGCATAACTCCACACTTCTTAAGTATGGACTACTCATAGTGGCTTCCTTCCGAAGAGTACAGTTTTGAAAAGGAAACAAAAAAACTTTATAGTGGAAGAATCTGACAAACATTATCTCAGCTAGATGATCAAAGAAATAGCAACAGCGTCATATTCATAGCATATCTCTTGATAAGATGTGATGAAAATAAAAATGACACTTTTACCTTTGTGGTCTTTCTCCCCATAACTGGTAATCTCAGTCTAATCATGGGGGAAAACATCAGACAATCCAGTTGAGAGATATTCTTCACAATATCCAACACTACCTTCAAGACCACCAAAACAAATACATCTTGAGACTGTCATAGCCAAGACAAACCTAAGGAGACTTGACAACTAAATATAATATAATATGGTATTCTAGATGGGATCCCGGAAAAGAAAAAAAATGTTATGTAAACACTAAGAAAATATGAATAAAACATCTAATTTAATGCTAATGTATCAATATTTCTTTCATTCATTACAGCAATTGTACCATACTAATATAAGATGCTAACTATCAGGAAACTGAATATATTAGAACTCTTTGATTCATTTTCATGGTTTTTCTGTATATGTAAAACTGTCCCAAAAAATAAAAAGACTATCACCAAAGAAAGAAAAAAAGAGAAAAAAATTAAAGAGTTTAAACAAATTCCATTTATATAAAATTCTTTAAAAAATGACAATATCATAGAGATAGAGAACAATTAGTAGTTGCCTGGAATTATGAAGAGAGGTGGCTTAAGCTATAAAAGGGTTCACAAAGGATCCTTATGATGGAATTTTTCTGTATGTTGGCTTTGGTGATAGTCACACAATCCTACAAATATGATCAAATTGTATAGGAATAAATACACACACAGAAATTAATTCAAATATAACATAAAAATTGAATAATAGATTATATCAATGCTAATTTCTTGGTTGTTATGTAGTGCTATAATCATTCACAATTTTAACACTGGAGGGAGCTGAGTGAAGGGTTGACTAGCTATCTCTATATTATTTGTTACAAATTCACAGGTATCTACAATTATATCAGACTAAAAAAATTAACTAAAACATTATTGTATTTGCAATCACAGTGACTTAATGGTGTACAGTAGTTGAAGTGGGATAGGTATGTGTGGTTGTGAAGATCTTCACAGACAGGAAGAATATCACATGCAAAAGATGTGACATAAAAGAGATCATGTAGTATTCACTGAACAAACATAACAAACAGCCCATGAGGCTTGGGCTTCAGAGTCTAAAATAATAGTGGTTCAATATGAAGGTGGTAGGGGTAGACACTGACCACATCCTGTGGAGCGTCTGAGGACACATCACAGGTTTTGTTCTTAATTTTAAGTATCTTTGTAAGCCAGAAATTGGGAGTGGTTGATAAATATCAACTCTTTAGTAGATTCAACCAAGGATTCATTGATATTTTAGAAATGCCTGTGCTACTTAGAAATTCCTATTCTAAGATTAATTGCATGTGCTCCTTGAATAGATTTGCCTAGATTTACATCACAGGTCTATATCTTTAATGGATATTTGACCTTGAGCCAATTGGTTAACACTTGTAAATCTCACCTTCGCATTTTATATTTACACAGACTTGCCTACCTAGTTATCACCAAACTCTCAGTATGTGGCAAGGATTAAACAAAATAATCCACGTGTATCATTTAGCATAATGTTTGTTACTTATTAAGCTTCATACGGGTTAGTCATTGATTTCTGTTTAATACAGACTCTTAAAAAATTATACAACTAATACAGATTAATTAGGTAAAATATCAGAAAGTAAAGATGAAATAAAATTTAAAATACCAGTTACAGCACCCTGCATCCATAATCACTGTTAAATTCTATGTTCCAGTTAAACCCAATTATGAGAAAAGAGGCTAGTGAGGGAATAACTGAATCTGCCACGTCAGTCTTCCTCATGAAACATAAAGGCCCAGAATAACACTTTTCCATTGCTGAAAGTCGAAAACAATGAAGAGCCTGATAAATATTGGCTAAATAGATGGATAAATTAAATTTCATACATCATGGCCTCCATTTACCGAATAAAGTAGTAGGCAAAGTTTTCAACAAAAAAGGAGTGATTAAGAGTCAAAGAGAAGGACAGAGGGTTTGAGGAAACTGGTGAATCTTTAATATACAGTTACAGAGATTAAATACATGAAATACATATTAAAAGGATTAATGCTGAAAAAAACGTTGAAGTTTCAGCAGAAAGTGAGGACCAGACAGGTGAAGTACCACAGAGTGAAATTTTTCTGTAACTTTCTCTCTAGTTATAACCCAGGATTAAAAGAAGAGAAGAGAAAAGCATAGCTGCATTGAGCTTGTTGTAAGAGTTGGCAGATCAGGGATGGTGAGAGGAAAAGGATAGATATGCAGGAGTTGATTAAAGGGTGGATTTCACATAAAAATAGAGCAGAGAGTTGGGGTAGAATAGATTGTATGGTTGAAAACATGTGGAATCATTGATAATATTGATGTATATAAAGAGTCATTATAATAGGACAAAGGTAGTGAAAGAATAGAAAGTTAGAATGCTATCATTGGAAAATAACATATTCAAATTGTTCTATACATCATCTTTCAACAGGACAATGGTCAGGTTAAGGTCAAAATTAGATGCACTTTGTTCACTTTATTATCTTCACATCTTGTCAGTTTTTTGTCCTGTTTCACATATTAAATGAACTATTTGTATCTAGGCCAAATTGTAAATATGGAAATAATTGGGATGGACATAATAATCCTCTTATACATTTTTAATGTTTATTTCATCATTTGAAATGTTGACAGAATGTTCCATAATATATAAACATATGTATATAGTACTATTTCATCAAATGTGTAAAAAAGTAAATATAAATATATTGGGAGTACAAACCACGAAATCTTTAAGTATTGATTGCATGCTAAGAAGAGATTTGAGATTACTATTCAAAAGGAGGAAAATACTGATGTCAGTAGGTAATAATCAGAAATTCATACGATAATATATATATTAAAGAAGAATAAAGTTGGAGATATAGAATAGTTTTTGGAAATTAACATCGATTTCCAAGTTGATCTTACATAATTATTCAGTGAACATCTAAGATTTCTTTAATTAAGAGAGAACATAATTTTTAAAAATGTTTAAAAGGCAAAATGATATAAAAAGCAAGCCTGAGCAATATATTAAACAAAACAAAAACAAGAAAATTTTTAAAAACCAAGTAAATAAACAACCCTCAGGGAAAGCATTTACTCCCTCTGAATCTCAATTTCTTCATGTGTAAGTGAAAATGATTGGTTTCTATTTCTAGTCAGAATACATTTTTTCCAAAAATTTTTTGAAACAACATAGGAAGTTAAGTTTAATAAAATGATTCTATTTTAACTTAAGGATAATTTGAATGAAGGGAAGAAGAATGAAAAAATATTAGGTGAAGCCAGGGAAAAAAATCTTGCTTATCTATAAGAATATTCAGATCAATTTTTTGAAATATGAAATTATTTATGAGTCACACGGCATACAAGTGCAAAAAAAATGTGTTTTCTATGGAACATGTGAAAAAGAAAAGGGACATGAGGCCTTGGTAGCTAAAGAATTGATGTTCCCTAGGTGAACCCCGCATGACTGAAGCTGATATTAATACAAGAAAAAAGTGAAGGTCTTCGGAAGATGCCTTTGGTACTTCTTACTCTCATACACAGAAATGTCACAATTCTTTAAAACAAAACAAAGGTCACTGATGTAGTAACTCATCTGCAGAGGAAAGGAATCAAACGTGCAATGCAGCAATAGTGCCAATAGGAGAAAGATTCAGATCGAATGGCCAGATAAGTCACTAGTTTTAACCAAAAGAAATTTGCTGTAAGAGATTGAGTTCAGTCTTCTATGTTTTGCAAAGTTGGTCAAAGGAATAAACCACTTCTGAACATATAATCACTGGCTATTTTTATTTAACTCATATAGAAAGAGAAAGACTTTTCAAGTGGCTAAAATTCCAATGTTCAATCTTGTGTATGAGACATTACTTTTTTCAATGCCTTTCATTCTTTGCTTTACTTGTTGAAGTTTAATTTTTTGTTTATATGGATTGTTTAAAAGCAATGTATGTATAAGGCAGTGTGTGGCAAACAGATTAAATTGCTTAAATTATACCCCCTTCTCCTTGATGTCTTTGGAAATGGTGATTGTAGAAAAAATCTGCATAATAATATTTATGAGCATTTTGAGTACCATTTATATTAATAAATAAATAGAGTTGAAAAAAGGAAAGGTATTATGAGACCAATATGTATATAAAGGTGTGACCATTGTAAAACTTTATGGGTTAATATCTGAGGATAACATTTTATAATGTTTTCTGTTATTTGTCACTTTTTTCAGATTTTCACTTGCAATAACGATTTTGCCCAGCTAAATACTATATTAGTTTCAGAATGATTTACTTAATATTACTTTATGTACATGATATGCGGCTATAATATCCTCTTATTTAAAAGAAGGACCTTCATTATCAATGAGCACGTCTACAGCATTTTTCTAAAGTGCCTCTACTTGTTTGTCTAACTATGAACTTGTGGTTATAGTCTAATTATCAACTTTATTTGAATAAACTAAATTCTGTAAGTGTCCTCAATTATTTTACTCCATTTTTTTCTTTTTCCTAATTATATATTAAAAAATAGGACTACAGATTCTGACAATTTCTCAGAGTAGCTATTCAAAGGTAGCCAGCAGATGTCTCTCTTAGACTCATCCAATCAACAGAATGTGCTCCTTTCTCTTTGGGCTATTACAGTTGTAAAGTTACTCATCAGGTACCTGTTCCCCAAGGTACTGTCAGTGTAATTTAAACAGACTACTAAATGTTAAGATGATCTAACTCCAAAGCAAGAGAAAAAATTGTTTGTTTGTATGTTTTTTGTCTTTAGAGATATAACTGCCTGGTTCAAGAAGAAAACTATGAGACATCATGAGGTTTAATGTTTAAAAGTAATGATACCTAAGGCACAATAATCTTAAGATTGACATTTGGGGAGAAATGAACATTAGGTCTAACAAGGAAGTATACAATAAATGCCAACAATATGTGTAACACTGTACTGTATTTGCATACATCCATTTAGCATGTTTCTAATTTATGAAATTCTGATTTATTAAAGAATTTTAAAGTGTAAAGACTGAAATTATATATTTATTCAGTTATGTGTATGTACAACATAAGAAAGTTAAAATTTAAAGGCACCCAAATGATGGTCAATTTTTCCCCTTTATACATGTCTCTACCACTTCAAGGAGGCAAAGTGATTTACCACATATGCTCTCTTTGCACTTATGCCATGTCATGAATTGTGATACAACTCAACAAATGACAATTACTATTCATAAAATTATTGAAACTATAAGGCTCAGTTTGCAAATTTTATAAACTTCCTATACATCATTCTCTTTAAGGTTTAGTCACTCTTGTTTTTAATCACTGGCTATATATCCCTTGAACAAGCTTTTGTACACACAACCTTAAAATCTGACAGCTAAATATGCATGTACATTTCCAGAAGTGGAAAATAACAATTTTTCATGATATAAACACTATAGTTATCTTAAAACTGACTCTGATATTTAGATTTGAGTTGGACTGTTCTATTTGTTGGCTTTAGTAGCCGTTTTTAATCATTTGCCCAAACTTAGTTTATTGTCGTCTATTACTCCTGTGTTTTTTAGTAAAATTTCATATTAATCTTACAGGTAAAATTTGCTTCATTCAACTTTGTTATTTTATATTCAAATTATTTATAAACACACTTATGACACTTTATAAATCACACAGGTAATCTATACTTATGGAAAATGTTAAAGCACATACAGTTTGCTTTTCTCCCATTGCTATCTGTCATTTCCCCAGTTCCTTTTTGCACAGAAAACTTTTGAGACCAGTTTTTATCAAGATATTAGATGAATTGAAACACATGCGATCTTCTGTTTGATACAAATAATAGAATACCACATTGTGGAAAACCAAAATTAACAATCGCACAAATTTAGTTAAGTCCAAATCTTTACCTACTCTGTGCAAACAGATTAGCATCTGGACATGACCGGGATGAAACACACAATCATGCTCATGAGTCTCACCTCACCAAACTCAAGTGAGCCCTTAATTATCCCTGGCAAACTTACAACTTTTCCTAAGCTACTCACTTTCCTAACCCTGAGGGTGATTATTTCATTCATCTTTCTGCTCTTTACATCTTCAAAATCTCCTTCACTCAGCGTATCATTTCACTTTGTTTCACTGATAAGACAAAAATAATCAGAAGAGACAATCAGCAACCTTTAATAACCACATCTATACTCGTCACATATACTCGCCTTCATTCCTATTATTCTGCACTCTTAGCAATGACCAGCTGCTCATTCTTATACTAGATGACATTCTGTTTTGTCTACTCATGCACTAGACTCGGGTAGGTCTTCTCCTTTTCCACTATATTGCTAATTGATTTCTATTAGATTATTCTCATGATGTTATTTCTATTATTTAAAGCACAATTGTTTAAGCAAGCAATCTCTCTTGTTGCTATTTTCCTCTCCAACCATTAGCACATTCATCTCCTCCATTTATAATGAAGCTATTTCTTCCGAAGTTCACCCTCCCCTTCTCTTCTGAATCCGATTATATATGGTTATTATTTGTGATTGTTCAGTAGACATTAGAAAAAAATCTACAATCAAGATGATTTGTCAAATTATTTAAGTAATAAATGTCTTTATTATTATTTGATATTTCTTCAGTAAAGAACTAAAATAATGTTTGTTATAACTATCCTCATATTTTCTGTAAGTTTTGCTTCATGGTCTTTGATGCCATGTTCTTTTCTGCATAGTTATTCATGAATGATGTTCATAATTATCTATCATATAGTATTAGTTTGCTAGGGCTACTATAACAAAGTACCACCAACTGGTTGGTTTAAATGATAGAAATTTACTTTTCCACAGTTTTGGAGGCTGAAAGTCCAAGATCAAGGTGTCAGCGGAGTTAATGTACTCTGAGGCTTCCTTCTCTTCTCTCTTTGGCTTGTAGTTGCTAAGCAGCTAGACTATAAGCTAAAGAGAGAAAAGAAAGTCCCTGTGACTTCATGTGGTCTTTCCTCTGTGTGTGCCCCTGTGTTCATCTCCTATTCTTATAAGGAAAACATTCATTTTGGATTTGGGCCCTCTGTAAAGACTTCGTTTAACCTTAATTACCTATTTTAAGGTCCTATTGTCAAATAACAGTCACATTTTGAAGTACTGTGGGTTAGAACTAAAACATATGAATTTCGAGGGGACACAATTCTGCCTCTATACAACCCCTTTATAAACTTTCCCCTCTGCCTGTTTAGTCTAGTCATAAAATTCTCTTTGCTTGGGTGAATGTACTCTTTTCTGTCAAGTTGCTTTCTCCCTACTAGGGATCTAGCTTTTCACCCCGTCTCTCCTCTGCCAAAGCTTATTTGTTGCTATTTGCTCCTCTTGATGGTTCCATGGGATAAAATTAAAGACAGTAACTTCCCACACTTTTCATTTGGTCCACAGAAAACTTTTAGATTATTTGTCTGAATACATTCAGAGAGTAGAAGCTGATTCCTAAGCATCAGTAAGACTTTGTTGCCGAATTATCAAAGCATTTAGTCAATCTGTCTCTTTTGTCCTGTACATTTCCAGAAGAACAGAAAACTCAAATCAAACCATCACTTCCAAAGAATCTTGAGGAAGTTCTACTCACTTTGCTTAAGTTTAGAGGTAATCCACCTCTCCTGGAAGGTATGATGGAATTTTTAGAATTCCATTTACAGCTCACTTCCCTCTAAAAGAAAGTTATTTTCATGAATCAAATCTTTGTCTCATCCCTATGTCCAACTTTTGCAATTCTTATTGCAGTGATAGCAGTGATTGTGGGCATAGCTGTGGACAGAAAAAAATGATAGTAGATAAAACAAATTGTAGATATGTATGTAATATTTTATTATTTGGGAAAAAACAGAAATTAAATGTGATAAAATCTTAATTGACAGTAATTCTGGAGATGGAATATATATGTTTGTATTTCAGTCTTTGTTCTTTACTCTATTTTAAATTTTTCCAACAAAAATAGAAATAAAAGATTGTTATTAGGTTGGTGCAAATTTAATTGCATTTTTGCATTGTTGAAATTTGCCATTTGATATTGGAATACACTTTTCTTTTTTTTGAGATGGAGTCTCGCTCTGTCACCCAGGATGGAGTGCAGTGGCGTGATCTCGGCTCACTGCAAGCTCTGCCTCCTGGGTTCACGCCATTCTCCTGCCTCAGCCTCCCGAGTAGCTGGGACTACAGGTGACCGCCACCACGCCCAGCTAATTTTTTTGTATTTTTTTAGTGGAGATGGGGTTTCACCACGTTAGTCAGGATGGTCTTGATCTCCTGACCTCATGATCCGCCCACCTCAGCCTCCCAAAGTGCTGGGATTACAGGCGTGAGCCACCGCACCCGGCCTGCAATACATTATTAAATAAACGTGGTTATCTTATACATCATTTTAATGGGAAGTTCTCACTTAATTTTTTTTGCTAATGACATTACTTGCTATTTGTGTTTATTTTAGACTGCAAAAGTATTAAACGGATTAGACTACAGATGTTAGAAAAAAGTAAATTTGAGCAATTTTCTTATTCAAGTTCAAAAATGGGTTGTAAAACAGTGGAGACAACATGCAACATCAATAATTCATTTAGCCCAGGAACTGCTAAGGAAGTACAGGGCAGTGGTATTCAAGAAGTTTCGCAAAGGAGATGAGAGCTTTGAAGATGGAGTGTTTTTCCATTGTCAATTTCCGATGCTGGCCATTGGAAATTGACAATGACCAATTGAGAGCAGTCATCAAAGCTGATCCTCTTAAAACTACACAGGAAGTTGCCGAAGAACTCAACTTTGACCATTGTGTGGTTATTCAGTATTTGAAACAAATTAGAAAAGTGAAAAAGCTTGGTTAGTGGGTGCACCATGAGGTGAGCAAAAATCAAAAACATTGTTGAAGTGTCATCTTCTCTTACTCTACATCACAAAAACGAACCATTTCTTGATCAGATTGTGACATGTGATGAAAAGTGAATTTTATATGACAACTGGTGAAGACCAGCTGAGTGGTTGGACCGAGAAGAAGTTCCAAAGCACTTCCCAAAGTCAAACTTGCACCAAAAAAAGGTCATGGTCACTGTTTGGTGGTCTACTGCCAGTCTGATCCACTACAGCTTTCTGAATCCAGGCAAAACCATTATATCTTAAAAACCGATGAGATGCACCAAAAACTGCAACACTCGCAGCCAGCACTGGTTAATAGAAATGGGCCCATTCTTCACGACAATGCCCAACTACACATCACACAACCAACACTTTAAAAGTTGAATGAATTGGGCTACAAAGTTTTACCTCATCTGCCATATTCACCTGACCTCTTGCCGACTGACTACCACTTCTTCAAGCATCTTAACAACTTTTTGCAGGGAAAACGCTTCCACAACCAGCAGGATGCAGAAAATGCTTTCCAAGAGTTCGTAGAATCTTGAAGCATGGATTTTTATGCTACAGGAATAAACGAACTTATTTCTCATTGGCAAAAATGTGTTGATTGTATTGGTTCCTATTTTGATTAATAAAGCTGTGTTTGAGCCTAGTTATGATTTAAAATTCATGGTCCAAAACTGCAATTACTTTTGCACCAACCTAATAGTTCAGGTCAGCATTTCTCTTACCAACTTGTGTGTTCTTTACAAATGGTTTAGTAAACCTGTATCTCTACATGAAACCCACTACCTTATAATAGAAAGTGGCATTCATAGTAGTACATTTTGTTACTAAAATTATGTAGATAAATTTTTACTTTTTCTTTCTTGCTTCTTTTCTCAAACCATCAATTAAAAGAGAGAACAAAATGATTTCTCCACCTTCTACTCCTTACCCAGTACAAATACTCTGGGGTACTAAAGATGCATGTGCATTTGTCATGATTCTCCTGAGAAACATAACCAATAGCATACATAAGGATATAATGAGATTTATTATAAGAAATTGGCTCACATGATTATAGAAGCTAAGTCTCATGAATTGCTGTCTAAAAGACGGAAGCCCAGGAAAGCTACCGTAATTCTGTCTGAGTCTCAAGGCCTGTAAACAACTGGAGCTGATTATATAAGACCCATCCCAAGTTCAATGGCCTGAAAACCAAGAGCCTGATTTCCAAGGACAGAAAAAGATGGATGCCCCAGCTCAGTTAGAGAGCACATTCATCTACCTCGCTACTGTATTGAGGCTCTCAATAAATCAGATGATGCCCACCTACGTGGGTGAGGGTGATATTCTTTACTCAGTTTACCAATTTAAATGTCAGCTTTTTCCAGACACACCCTTATAGACACACCCAGAAATAATGTTGTATCAGCCACCTGGGAATTCCTTAGCCCAGTTAAGTCAGCACATAAAATTAGCTACCATGTAATATAAACTCCTTTTGACAGTGTCATTCTTTGACACTTTAAATCATAAGACTGAAATTAGTACCTTTTCAAAATAATAGAAAGTTTTTCACCATCCCTCAGGACAAACTGTTCTAGTCTATGCTGTGTTATGTTATGTTATGCTATTCTAGTATTTCTTTATTCAATCAAAAATTATAATTGAGTACTTATGTTGTACCTAATACTATTATATGCACAAAAATAATAGTAGTAAAAAAAAAAGACCATATTCCTTTTCTCAGAGAGCTTATCTTTCAATTATTCAGTTCAGTCTGTCTTTATATATTTTGTCGTATAGTTTCTGCCAATTCTTGGGCTCAAAAGTAGACAGGCTCATTAAAACTAAAAATCATGCAATCTAACAGGTGATTTGAGGTGCTCCTTCCAGTTGGGTAATTAGGTCCTGAGATATTTGAATTAATGTTAAGACAGTGAGCATAGTGGCTTATGCCTGTAATCCCAGAACTTTGGGAGGTCAAGGTAGGTGGATAGCTTGAGTCCAGGAGATTGAGCCCAGCCTGAGCAACATGGTGAAACCCCATCTCTACTAAAAAGACAAAAATATTAAATTAGCCGGTCATAGTGGTGCACACCTATAGTCCCAGCTACTCAGGAAAATGAGGTGGGAGAATCACCTGAGCCCAGGAGGTCGAGACTGCAGTGAGCCAAGATCACGCAACTGCACTCCAGCCTGGGTGATAGGAGTGAGATCCTGCCTCAAAAAAAAAAAAAAAAGTATGTATGTGTGTGTGTATATATATATATATATACACACATACACACACATATATAGTGTGTGTATAAATATATGTATATATTATATATATATATAAAGACAGCTGTTTATAAAAACTGTGATAGGAGACCCTGCCTCAAAATATAGACGTGTGTGTTCATATATGTGTGTGTGTATGTGTGTGTGTGTGTGTGTGTATATATATATATATATATATATATATATATATATATATATAAAGACAGCTGTTTGTAAAAATTGTACTTCAAGAGCAGTATTTAACTTCCTGGGAGAGTGGAAGTGAGACCTGGCAGAACCATATCTCTAGACAAAATTGTACACCGAAATGAAAGGATAAGAACTGGACATCAGAGAACATTCAGGGACTGTATTACGGATATACAGATATAGTGTGTGTCTGTGTGGTCCCAAGGGCAGAATGCAAGGTCTCATGAAACAAGACTAACAACTTTGTTGATTCAATGCTGAAAGATAAGCTGTTGCCCTCTTTCAATGATGCAAAATGAATTTCTTAAGCTAAAGTTGTCAAGCACACAAAAATTAAGTCCAGGCCAAAGCTAAAGCCTGATAAAGTCACAGTGAACCACTTTTAGATTCAAACACTTTATTATTTACTTTATTACTTTACCAAGCAAAAAAGATTAGCAAGAGGTGCCAGCTTCCTATGCTTTGTTGTAAAACAAAAAACAACACTAAAACAAAACAGTACACCTTGGTGTAAGTAGCAGGATGCCCTGTTGCTGTTTCTAACTCTAGACTGCAACTAAGTGAACTTATGTTTCTGAAATTCTTTTCTGAGTGTGGCACTCCAGAAGTTTCATCAAAATTCAGGAGGCGATGAGAAATTGTTTTATAATAACAAGGAGATAACGCAAGGTGAGTGGGAAACGGCCCTGTAGAAGCTCCCTGCATGCATTCCATCCTCTTATGTTCCAGGAGCTTCATAAGGCATTCTGCTAAGACTCAGGTTAGCTGTGGTTCAAATCTTCGTTTGTGTGACCTTTATGGATACGCAAGGTTGACAGGGTGCCATGGTGGAATCATTCTCCTATAGGGCCATGACTAAAAACACTGTAAGGCATTGAACTTGCTTAATGTGTTTCTTTTCTATTTTTATCTCTATAGATATCTTTAACATGTTAAGAGAAATATCAGATCAACTTTCATTAGTTGTGCTATGTCAGTTTTAATCTAAAAGATAATGCATAAAACAGTATTCCTCACACTCCACTCTATTACATTTCATTGGTAATAGACCCCCCTTCACCCCACTATTCAGAATGACATGCTTTTATCCATGTGTAACTGAATATGAGCTTCACTTCATGAAACACTTTTTCACTCATTCCAAGTGAGTAACAGATATTCATTGTCCACCATATTATTTGTGTTGCTATTGCCCTGCCTCAAACACAATTCCTAAAAATGACTACAGAAATTCCAGATAGCTAGTTTTTTCCATATATGAAAAAATTTTAGCTAGGCTTATTACCTAATATTGTATACTCTGCCTCCTTTTAAGGAATCAAATAGCTTTGCAGTACTTAAAGTATTATCCAAAACTGATTACTCATCATGGGTTTTAGTGCCTGGTGGTCTGGTAATTACCGATATATTTTTAAAAGACTTTAAAACTAAATTAAAACTTGAACCATGCAATTATGCGCAATGCATATTGTAAGGACAGCTAATGAACTCTATCATTTTGCTGCTAACAGCTGTTTTCTCCTCATAAATTCTGTTCATAGATTCCATTCATACTACCACACAAAATAAAAACAGGAAGTTAGAGGAGAGCAATAGAACAATATAAACATTTTCTTTTTCTTGTAGAACCTGGATCACTCTCTAATGACAAATCAAAAACAACCAAATAATTTAGATATATTTGAAAAATAATGCACAGTTCCTGACAACAGACAGAGGAAGAAATAAGAAAAGGAGAGAAGGAGGAGGAGAAGTAACAATGAAAAGAGGGGTAAAGAAAGAAAGAAAGGGAAGCAGGGGAGAAGGTGAAAAAGAAGGAAGAGAATAATAAATTTTAACATATTAAGAATAATGATTCAGATTTAATGATGTAGACATTTGTCCATTTTTACTTCCCATATTTATTAAAGAACTAAAACATTAACAAATGAAGTTGCAGTCTCTTTGTGTATCTTTACAATCACATTCCTCATCTTTGCTTCACATAAATAAACATTCTCAGTTTATATGATATCCTTGCCCTCACTTGAATAAGTTTACCATGTATGTATCCATAAGTTTGCTTTTGTATATTACTAATGCATTATTGTAATCATACAAATGTTATCATTACAATAAATATTGACAAGCTCTCTTTTTTTCTTCTTTAATAATATTTTGGCAATTTTTTAAACTTTAGTATATATTTAACAAAGAGTTTGATGAGATTCTATGATACAATGAATGAATAAAATTGCTTGGCCAAAATCTTTGTAATGCTAAGCATTACAAAATCTTTGTAATGCTAAGTTTTGTCACCCACAAGCACAGTATATATCTTTAATTATTTAGCATACTTTTATTTCCTTCAAAAGGTTTATAAACTTTATCCAGAAATATGGATAAAGATTTCCTTTGTTAGATTTATCCTTGTATATTATTTCTTACTATGGTTATTAATATATTTTTCATTAAATTTTCTTTTTCTCTTGTAAGTTTTGCTTTCTTTTGTCAAAATTATACACATAGTAAAATTGAGTATATTAAAATTGCCTCCACACTTTTGCTAAAAATTAAACAAGTCAACACTTGTTAACATCTGATTATATCTTTTTAAAAATAGGCAACAGAAGCCTGATGAATCTGAAAATAAAAATGGAGTTGGTCAAACCACCAAAGTAACAACTGGGAATGACAGCGTGAAAATGAAATGCAAAAATATCCACAATTTCATGGAAATACCCTTCCTCCCCCAAAAGCCAACTTATTCTTATCACTTCAAGCAGCATGTTTTACACTGAGTGGTAACCTGAATAGATGCAGCTGGGAATGACCAGTGAAATTAGGAAAATTTCTCACAGGAGCTGAATTAATAGCAATGAAAAAACTTGTGAGCAGACCTAAAAGGTCTAATATTGCTATCTTAGTATATTCCCCTGAAAATTTTAGGAATATCAAGCTAAGTCTCTCTTATAAAAGAAAACAGTTCACATAGAGACCAAATACTGAGTACAAAATTGAAATTGAGCGGGGCCAAAATATTAGACATTAGATTTTGTGGGAGTAGATCACAGATAGCAAGTGATTTAAAAAAACAAAAAGTTTGAAAATGTGCCCAAGCTAATCTTCCCAGAAAACCCACATCATTTAAACATCAAATACTGCAAAAAAATAAAATAAATAAAATCTAACTCCATGCAAGTGTATTCCAAGAAAAAAAAAGATAAAAAGAAACTAGAGGGTGTTTTAATAAATAATGGAAAAACACCAGAAACACACAACAAAAAAGAAGATGAAAGCATTGATTTAATACATATAAGTGAGGGAAAAATAAATTATAAAAAGTTATGCAAACATTGAAAGAGCAGCTAAAATTAGAAATAAAAAACCTCAGAACTGTTTGCCTAGGCAAATGGAAGATACAAAACAAAACGTCTCAGACACCAGTAGTTACTGGGGTTGAAATTGGAGGGTGGAGTACAAAGCAAAAAAAACAATAGATACCACAGTTAAAAAAAAAAAAAAAGCAGAGGAAAAGCAAAAGATGGAAAGGGGAAATGCATAAAGGTATTGGAGAAATGAAAAAGCAGAAGAAAGAAAGAAGAAAACTATTTTTTAAATCAAATACGATTAAAGAGTACATATATTTGAAAGTGATAGTAATAAAACACAAGCTCTGGTCAAGGTGTAATAATAAGGAACAAACTTATAATCCCATCTGAAACAACCAAAAGACAAGACAAAAAGAAAAGAAAAAAAGCAATAGTTTTTAAGACACTTAATACCAGACAGAAGTGATACCCGAAAGAAGGAAAGCAAACCAGAGGAATCTTACATTTATTTCAGCTTATTGCCTTGAGAAAGGTTCCAGCCTTGGCACAGAGTCCTGAAGACTCCCTGAGTTGAGGAAGCTTAGTAGAGGCCCTGGGGAGGACTAAGTGGCTATAATTTGCAGGAGAAAGTACCAGAGAGGAGAAAACTGCACAGGGAGAAAATTCTGGCTGTCTACAGAGTCTCCTCTGAGTACTCAGCAAAGTACTGAGCATCACATGCATGTGAGGAAACTACTTTAGAATTGTGGGAAAGATCATTCAATAAAATTAGAGGAAACAGTGCCTGGTACTCACAAAGGGCAGTAAATATCAAGACTGGACAATTTCAGGATATACAGGGCATTCGATGGAATATTCAGGGGACTCTTACCTCAGTAATGGGTAATATTAGCCTTATAGTAAACACTGCTATGGAGTCACCTAACAAATCAAAAATAAAAAATAGAACAAAGTGGATTCAACTGTTTCAAATAAATTAATCAAAAACATGTATAGGAAATCAAATCTATACAGCACCATTTGAATGTAAAATTCAAATTGTCTGGCATCCAGTCTAAGAAACAGATGTAGTAAGAAAAAGAAAACTATGACCTATAATGAGGATAAAAAACAATTAATGAAAACTGACAGAGAAGTGACACAGATGCTAGAACTTTTGAAAAATAAAATTAAAGCCATTACTCTATTTCATATGTCTAAAATTATGAAAAATAGAGAAATGAAGGATATTTTTAAAATCAAGCAACTTTTTAAATACATACATGGAATTTTTAAGATAGTGCTCAAGAAGACAACATAGCATAATAGAATTTTATCCAAGTAGTTACTAATTAGATCACAGTATGATTAGTATGTCATTACTTTCATATAAAATTAATTTTCTGACATACAAAAAAGTACAAATAATATAACAAATACTCATATATTCTTCACTAAACTAATGAAATAAACACAAATATTTTGAATCTCCTTGTGTACTCCTCAGATTGCTTCTTTCCTGTATTTATCCACCTAAGAGATGAAGCTCCCCAATTTGGTGTTTATTTTTTCCATGCACAGATCCTCATGTTTGCTATATATTTATATATCCATAGTGCACACATACATATACACACGTATTTTTTATCTATTCAGTCAACAAATATTAAGTGGTATATACTATTACATTAAGTGCATGTATTATTCTAGCTACTAGAAATAGGACAAAGGACAAAACACAGACCAAAATCCTTCTTCTCATAATGATAGCATTTTAGTAAGTTAGGCAGTGAGCAAAATAAATTTCTAAAATATATAATATGTTAGATGAGGGTAAGAGATAAAAGGAAAATGTCGTCCGTGTCAAGTTTCACAGACAATGTATTGTTTCTTGAGTAAGTAGTTAAAGGAAATGAAGGATTGAAAATATACTGGATATATATAAAGAACAGTAAAAAAATAAATATAGAAAGGAGGAGAGGAGCAGAAAATGAAATCAGAGAGACAAAAGAGTCTAGAGGAGTGTACAGATTTGGACTGGCTGGAGGCATTCATAATAACTTATTAACAACTCTTTGTCAGATGGTAACCAGTTGGTAGAATTTTATGCAGAGAATAGGCATGATATCATTGATATTTTAATCAAAAAATCCTGGTATGTTGAAAATAGACTAGATTTATTTTGTTTTTGTTTTGTTTTTCAGTGGTGGGCTTGATAGAAGGCAGGAAGTTCACTTGTGAGGCTGTTAAAATAATCCAGGTGAAAGATAATGATGGCATAGGTCAAGATTTTAGTTCTGAGCTATTGGAAAGAGAACTATCATTAGCAGAAACAAACAAGCAAACAAATCTATTAAAAGAGCATGTTTGGAGGCAGTGGCAGCAGAATGATCAGGAGCTCAGTTTCGAACACATTAAATTAAATATGTATATTATAATATCAGGCAAAGATACCAAGGGTACAGTTGTATATATGAGGCTGGACTGAAGGGGAAAGAAGATTGTAAATATAAAATTTGGAAGCATTACCATATAAATGACCCTGAATCGGCTTCAAGAGAATTAGCATGAAAGTAAGGAGAAGTGGTCCAAATACAGTCATGCATCATTAAATAAGGATACACTCTGAGAAATGCATCCTTAGGCTATTTTGTTGTTGTGTGAACATCACACAGGGTTCTTAAACAAAGCTAGATTGTATAGCCTACTGCTCGACTAGGTTGTATGATATAGCCTGTTGCTCCTAGGCTAAAAACCTATTGCAGCATGTTACTGCACTGAATACTGTAGGTAATTGTATTACAATGGTAAGTATTTGTGTATCTAAATATAGCAAAGGTAATGGGTTGCACAATGACATTGTGGTGGTTACGGTGTCACTAGATGATAGGAATTTTTCAGCTCCATTATAATTTTATGTGTCCATCATTTTATGTACAGCCCATTATTGATCAAAATGTCATTATAAGGTGCACTAACTCCCAGTGAGCAACAACAATGGGATTGTGAGATGAGGAGAAACCAGTTATGGGATTGAGATTATCCTTTGAGAAAGAAGGAAAACCAGGAGAGTGTGATGTCCTCAGAGTAACAAATACGACAAATGCTAACAGATCAAGTAAAATAGGACTGAGAAATAACCATGGAATTCTCTTATTGGAAGTCATTGGTGACCTCGATAAGAACCATTTTGGTTAGGTAGTAACAATGAAGTCTTGCTGGTAGGAGTTCAGTAGAGAATAGTGGAAGAAAAACTGGGAATCATGGATATAGACAAGGAGATAAGTGGAGCAGTATTTGAGAAATTCAAGGTTAAGAGGCCATTTAAAAATGTGAGAAACAACAGCATGTCTATATATTTATAGGAAAGTTCCAGTAGAAAGGGAATGGTTGAGCAAAAAAAAAAAATCACTAAAACAAAGACTTTGGAAGATAGGGAGACGACCTAGTTCATAAGTATGAAGGTGAAAGATATGCAGAGGAAGAAGTTGAAAATATGAGTTCAAATGCAAGTAGGTTATTAGAAATTGTAGTGGGGGTTGTAGAAAGTCTCTTCTGATTGCCTCCTCCTTCTCAGTGAACTAGGTAGTAAGGTATTTTATTAAGACACCCCTAGAAAATTAATACAGTAAATCATAGTGAGATCAAAGCTGTGGCAATACTGGAGCGTTAGCCACAAAGACAGGAAGTAATGGCTGGAGAGCCCAATGACTGAGTGTTAGACTTGTGAGTGGAGATATTGGTGAAGATCATTAGATAAAAGAACTGACAGGAACTGAGATGCCAGAAAATGGAAGATAATGGGTTGTCTTTTAAATCATCAAGAACTATGACAGCACCAGTATTGGAGAAAGTGATGGGAAATCAGAAAGTAAAAGATTAAGTTGATACTGGGAACTGATCAGAGAGCTTTTACATGGCAGGTAGGAGCAAAAATAGAGGAATGGCTAGCATGATCTGATGATATAAGATTTAAAGCTGATATCATTATGTATGTTTAAACCTTTATTCAACTGGTGTCATCTATATGTATTCTTAGAATTGGATTTTTATGTAGCCTTATAGTTGACATTTATCCACACAGGTATATGTTCATTAATTTCTACTGCATAATATTCCATCATATATCTATGGAAAAATGTATTTATCCATTCCCCTGTTAATAGATGTTTAGTTTTTTCCAATTCTTGATATTGCAAACAAAGCTGTCTTCCATTTACTTTTGTTTTTATCTTGCTATACTTATAGTTATGTCTCAATTATTTAAAAATTAAGCCTATTATCTTTTTGTGATAAGTCCTTTTGGAAATTGTATATTAGTAACACCTATAAATAGTATTTGTTTTTTTAATATTAATCTAATATTAATTTATCTTAACTATCTCCATATTTCTACATTTTTACAAGTACTATTATTATTATTTTACTATTTGAGTTTAATACTTAGCTCACATTTTCTTATTTTCTTAATTTTTAAAAAATATACTTGAAATTATAAATGTCTATGGCTTTTGCTGCATTTCACAAGTATTAATAAGTGTACTATCATACATTCTTTCCATTCAGTTCTTTACATTTTTAAATGATCAATGAGCTCTACTTTGAATTCTGCTTAAACTCATAACTTGAAGAATGTTACATAAGTTCAATTTAATGCGTTCTTTTGCCCCTTACATCCCACTTGTTCCTCTGAGCTTTATTTCTCCATTGTTAAAATTCATCTTCTCTTAATTCTTTTAGCAATGTTAAAGCCTCTCTTAAAAAATAATTTTAAGTAATTACTGAATTACAGATATTTAGATATAAGATTACAAGATCTGACTAATGAATTATTTTTATTATTAATGACTTCTTTTATCTGTAATAAAGTCTATATATTAATATTTTTATGCAATTAATACTTGGTCAACTTTTTTTATTTCTTGAATTTCAAAATTTCTTAGTCATTAAGTTTTAGGTATGATTATTTCAAATAAAATGTTGTTATTTTATCAAAGCTAATATTTCCCGTATTTAAATAGGTAGATTTAAATTTAGATTTAGTTCAACCATCTTATTTTGTGCTTTGTATTTCTGGTCCTCATGGTTTCTTTTCCTTGTTTTTAATTCCATTTTTACTTCTCTAAAATTACTAGAAATTTTTTATATAATTTTTTTCACTTTACAATTTAAAATGTTACATTTCATATTTTTGTACTTATAAGCTTTTTTAACCTTTTTATAGAAATATATTATTCTCCCTTGTACCGCTTCACAAATTTTCAGAATGTGACCATGCTCACGGAATCTGTCCCAAGATAAAGAAGCAGAATATCATGAATATCCCAGGAAACGCTTTGTGTGCCCTACAGTTACTAACACCATCTGTTTAAATTTCTCTGTAGTATGTAAGGTAGTTTTCTTAGAGCCACCTCTCAGGTCACTAATTCTCTGGTTAGCTCTTCCTAATCTTCTTAGTCTGCTCATTGAGTATGACAGACAATGGTATGCATCTATGTGAATGCTCCATGGGGTGCCTAGATTAAACATTTTCCCTGGGTATGTTTGTGAGGGTGTTTGCAAATGAAATTAGAATTTAAGTTGGTGGATTGAGTAAAATAGATTACCTTTCCCAACATGGTTGGGTATCATTCAATCCTCTGAGGGCTTGAATAGAACAGAAGGTAAAGAAAGGAGGAATCTACCCCCCCTTTTTTTTTCTGCCACACTGTTCGAACTGGGACATCTCATGTCATCTTCCGCCCTTGAACTAGGATTTATATCATCGACTTCCCCAGTTCTCAGGCCTTCAGACTCAGCCTACATTACACAACTCGCTTTCCTAGGTCTCCAGTTTGCAGACAGCAGATCATGGGACTTCTCAGTTTCTATAATTACATGAGCCAATTCCTCATAATAAATATAAATAATATATAACAATATGTATATTATAAAATATATATATAATTCTATTTTGTTATCCCATCAATAAACTTCAGCATATTTAGTTAGAAGTTTTTCTCTGATTTTCATATTTATAATACTTTAATGCCTAATTCTGTTTATTTCCATCTACTAAGATTCTAATCGTATCATGTAATCCAGTTGTGTGAGCTCATTTTCAGCATTAACTTTTTTCTTTTTCTCTGATTTTATTATTTCAATTTTCTTATTACTGATGAGGATATATGGATTACAACGGTCCTGGAATGATTTTAGACAGAAAAAAAAATTAAATGTGGACATGTTTGGGCCCCGGGGCTTTGATTTTTTATACGTGCCTTCTCTTCTTCCCTCCTTTATACCTAGGACCCTAGGCAGAGCAAAAATTTTAAGGCCAAATCTCTTTGTATGTATGTGAAGTTTTTCTAGGTCACTTTTCATAAGTGGAGAATCTCTATGAAAAGATTTTCATGCATATTTTTATGCAGGATTAGAAAATCCAGTTTACCCACCTGCAACAGCCTGAGGCTGTCTCTCTGGTCTTCCTGTGTGAATGACAAGCCTACACTCAGCCTTTCATGCCTAAATACAGGGTAAAAATTACTGTGGGCTGCAGTGCCATCGGCTCTCGCCATGTTGACTTTTATTATATTTTGTGCTCTTTGAATCCTTCCTTTATTCTTTGGTGTTTAGTTAGATCTTACTTTGAAGGTTTTGTTTCATCTATGATCTCATGTTCATAGCAGAAGGGAAACTATCTGAATCAGGTCATCATGGTTTTTAATAAAAGAAAGCAGTGTAAATACTTAACCAAGTTCTCCTATTAAAAACAACCAGCAGTTGGACTCCCCACATCTGTGCCTCCACTCTTATTCTCAATCTTCATATTTGTACTTTTTTTTTATGGTTAGTGCTTTATTCTTTGAAGAATGCTTCTAAAACATCACACTAAGTCAAGCTGAAAGGTAAAGTTTAAAATAGTTTTTAAAGTATAAGTCATAGTATATGTAATGACTATTCACTCTACAGAATCTTGACCTTAAAGCTTATGACACACCCAGTTGGCAGTAGCACCCATGTTTTCCAAATAGCCAGTCATTATTTTTCTTTTGTCTGCATAGACTTCTCATTAGCTGCCTTCTGCTTTTGTTGCATGAGCTCAGAGTCCCTATGCTTTCTCTGAGAGGTAGTCAACCTATCCTCTTTTCTTTTCCCCTTACTATTTTCCTGGGTTTTCTCCATGTTTTTTCTGGTGGACAAGTTCTCATTGATTTCCACGGGCCATGCCGACCATTGACAGAGCCTGGAATAAAGCGACTCAGAAAAAGCAACAGCTCCCTGGCACACTAGGCTACCATCACCACCGTCTTCTTTTCTCTTTCTACATTTATCTGCTAGCTTTTGTTTTCTCCCCTAAGACAACCTGTGTGGGGAAAATTTTCTCAAACCATGGTTTTCCTCTACTCTCATGTCACAACAATCAACACAGAAGACTTCCGTGACAAAATGTAGGGGGGAGTTTCCCCACACACCAAGCGGTGGACACCATATGAGTGTCCTCCTATTTAGTTCCAACACTGTCTATCTGGAGATAGCATATCCCACAGGGTGGGGCTCAGTACCCAAGCCTGCCCCTTGCTCACCAGTCACAATTCTAGGCTTCTGAAATTCTGATTAACACGTATCAGGCATTGGGGTTCCCATGACTCCCTGTTTTGGTTCAATTAATTTGCTAGAACAACTCACAGAACTGAGGGAAACAATTGCTTACATTTGCTGGTTTTGCAAAGGATATCTATGGAGAGTTGCATAGGAAGGCATGTAGAAAACGGTGTGGAGCTCCCATGCCCTCCCTGGGTGTGCCACCCTCCAGGAATCTCCATGTGTTCACCTATCTGGAAGCTCCCTTAAACCAATCCTCTTGGGATTTTATGGAAGCTTTAGGACATCAGTATTCTTTCCGCCTAGAATATAGGGCAGGACCATCTCTGGGAAAGGCCTTAAGACCCACGATCAGAAAGGCCAGGGAAGAGTAGAATCCTGCCTGGGGTCAGTGAGATAAAGGTAGGAGAAAGGAGGGAAAGAGAAGGTTAGAGGCCTGCGCCTGAGGCCTAACACACCCAACATTATAACAAAAGACTGTAACAAGGGCTACAGAAGTTGTGAGCCAGGAACCTTGGATGAAAGCCAGTATATATCATGACACCACAAAACCAAATCTATCTAATCTCATCATTTATATGTGACAGTTCTTCCATTTCATTCAATATCCTCCTAACACTAAAATTCTTACCTGAGCTTATAATTCCCAGAAATAATTTCACTAATTGCATGTATAGGAAAATCATTTTATAACTCTATTTTTTAAATATTTTATATTTAAATGATGATTTAAAATAGCCTGTTCTGCAAGACGTAATTGCTCCATTAAAAAAAAAAAAAGTAGAAGAAAAAAAAGACCTAGCATGCTATAAAATTTTTATAATACCAAATAAGATGGTACTTGTTGGAAAATAAAGTATGCACAACTGTAAGGGGACATAAAGCTATCAAGAAAACCACAGCTTTGCTACAATCCTTGATTAGCTGAAGTAGCACTGTGGGTGTTTCCTTCAAAGTCAGTTCTTTGCTACCAGATGGAGATGTTCTTGTTTCTTGTTAGATATCCTAGACCATAATTTAATCCATTAGTCAGCAAAGAGTGGAATCATTCCCATACCTACTCCAAACGTTCTCTTTCATTTCTTTCGGGTCTATGCTACAAGTCAATACTTTCCCTATATGATTTCTTCAGGCTTTTTCATTTTATGTTTCAAGACAAACTACGCTTATTAAAAGTGAGGCTTTGGGTTGTACAACATTGTGAATGTACAAAATGCCACTTAATTTCACACTTTACAATGATTGATTTTATGCTATGTGAATTTCACCACAATAAAAACATGAGATTTTTCTCACCAGCAGTGTTGATAAAGCAGCACCAATTTCTATTTATGAATTAAGTACACTGGTGATCTGGTCCTTGCTTTGGTTCAAACATAGAAATAACAACATCTGAGAGACTTTTCCTGACATCCCTAACATTTGTACCCAGTCTTCCTTAAGCTTTCTGGAGCACTGAAAATGAAAATAATAGTTTTCCTCTTTAACATCTCTTTTGCAATTTTGTTTGTGTTAATGTTCTTCTGATCTAATTTTCTTCCTATATTTCTGATTCAAGTTTTGTTTGCTGGTTTTAATTTTTCCACCTATCCTTTTGATGTTAAAATTTCATGTAGTCAATAGACTTTTTCTCTTGCAGTTCTACATTAAGTTTTTGTGCAACTGAAGCTCACACAACACTTCAACGTACATCTACCACTTTGCTACACCTCAAACTAATGCAGTAAATTGTATGCATTCTTTATGGCTATCAAGAGGCTGCTGAATGCTTCTAGATTACATCAGTTTGTTTTGAAGAGTACCATGTTCATTTCCTCCAATCTCAACTGTGCTCTCAGTTATTTCTATGTCTTCAGTCAACTGCACCTCTCATTCCACAGAGCAAACATTTTAAACTTCTAAATATTTTCTCCAAGAAAACTGAATTAATGTAAACTCTACACAAAAAGGCCACATTAGTCATTCTATAAATATATTGTCAGAATTAATGAATGAACACGTAGATCTTACTTCATATTTAGCACCTATATTTTAATTCATTCTTGCCCGCTCTATATTTCTTACAAGTATGTATTTTTTCAATGATTCAGGTATGCAGTAGGTAAATTTCGTATTACAGAATACTTTGTTCATTTTTCCCTACTTCCTTCAGTAAGCTTTAACTGTGAAACAGCTTAATTGCTACTGACAATTATTTCTTAGATGTATAAAAGTCCCCTTTAGACCAATGTCAATGTTTGTTAATCTAACATTACTTTTTTGAAGGAAAATTACTGCTATTAAATGTATACTCGTGGAAGGAAGTAATATTGTAATCAGTTCTGGGGATTCAATTAACTAGGGTGTAATAATACTGTTTGCTTGAAAGAAAACAATTTGTACCTGCATATTTTCATTTGGCTACCTAAAGATCTTTTAAGGGATTATCTGATCATTAGAATGCTTATTATCTTGATAAAATACCCTAGTTTGGTGATTACAAAATAATTTAATGAGATCTTTCTTAGTTAAACTCAAGTATTTTATACAGTATCATAAATTAAAAAAATCTTCCTTACTGATGAATCAATACTATGTGATATCAAGATGATAAAGTTATAGCCCTATTCAATGTCTCTTTTTTCACATAATTTTAAATTAATATCTCTCTGGCCCTATCATTTTTGTAAAAATTTACCTTTATAATTAACTTATTTAAAATAATTTACCACTTCTATTATTGATATATAGTACATTTGCTATTTTATTACATCATTGTCATTTTATTCAAACTTCTGCCAGTTTGATGCTATTTCTAAAATGACTCAAATATTCTGCATTGAAGCCATGCTATTTTCTTGACTACTTTTCTGAATAAATTATCTTTATCTACATGTTTCTTTTTTTTCTTTTCTCAAGCAACTGAAATTAAATAAAAGAAAAATAGACATGCTTTATACTTTCTATCTTTAATTCAAACTATACTTGCTAGAGGCTGATGATTTGTTTCAGAGTTTCTACAAGACAATGAGTAAAACTGAGCCCAAACACCATAACAATACCGAGAGAAGCTTTCCTTCACTAACTGCCTTAGTCCATTCACACACTGCTATAAAGAAATAAGTAAAACTGGGTAAATTATAAAGAAAAGAGGTTTAATCCATTCAGTTCCACACTCTGTACAAGCAGCATGACTGGGGAAGACTCGGGAAACTTGTAATCATGGCGGAAGGCAAAGGGGAAGCAGGCACATCTTATGTGGCCAGAGAAGGAGGAAAAGCACCAAGGGGAGATGTTACACACTTTTAAACAACCAGATCTCGTAAGAACTCACTATCATGAGTACAGCAAGGGAGAAATCTGCCCCCATGATCTAATAATCTACTACCAAGTCCCTCCCCATCAATGGGGATCACAATTCAACATGAAATTTAGGTGGGGATACAGAGCCAAACCTTATCAGTAATCACCACTCTAGGTTTGTTTTGTTTTTGTTGGTCTTATTTGCAAGAAGTTGGTTTATTCTCCTACCTTCAGCTGCCTTGGCCAAGTCTTTGAAATAACTCCTTTTATCATTGATAAGTTAAGCAGTGAATTCAGTAAAACAACAATTTAGCAGAAAACAAACGCACATATTATTTTACAGTTTGGAACAAGAAAAAAAAATACATGAGAAAAAGAAAAACATCATTAAAGTCAATATCTTTTGCTCTATGCTAGGGAGTCTTTATTTCCTCTTATTTCACAGACATTCACTATATTCACCATTCACTGAGCTATCTCACCCTGGATTTCTTAAGTCTCTTATAAATCCACAAAACGATGCACTGTTTTCTTGATCACTTTTGCATTTCAACTAAGCAGGATGTTTCTGTAATATACCAATATATTTGTACTATAAAGATCTATGGCTATCCCCACCCCTACCTGGTTTCAACAGCATTTACTTTCTATGCAGTCTTTTATAAAATCCCACTTTGGGAAATCATTTATATTAGTATCTTTTTATCAACAGGAGGAGGTTGTTCACACATATAGATAACCTTGAATGCATTAATATAAACTTGTAATAAGGCAGTATAATTAAAAGAATAAGATGAGTTCAAATTCTAGCTTCAGCATTTAGCATCTGCATGAGATTTTCAGGTTATTTGACTTCCCTAAATCTAAAATTCCACAAACTCCATGAGATGTCATCTGTAAAACATTTTAAAGAAGTTGTGCAGTCCACAGCCTGGGAAGTACTACCTTGCATATGGCAATCTTTCAATGATAGAGCGATACTGATATTATTAGCTTTATGCCCATCTACCTTAGCTGAACAACTTTAAAATGTTGTAAAGTATAAGATAACATAAGTCACAACAACTCCAGTTGATCCATTTTCTGCTCCCATTCATTTTAAGTACTCTGTGTAAGAAGCAGCATCAAAATTTGACACACAACTCATTTTAATGTCAAAATTTAAAAAAAATTATAAATCTGTGACATACCTTTTATATAATACCATGTGAAAAATGAGGAATAATTAACTATCTACTTCATGGGTATGAATCCATGAAGCTAAGATTAATAATTTTAACTTCATATGGTAATATCCTTCTCCAATAATACTTTATAACTTCAAAGCCATTTAGAACAGAGAATGTAAAGGCACAACAGAAATCTGCTAAGCATAATTTCATTACTCTAATTCATCATAATTAACACACAACTTTAAATAATTAAATTACCTTTGCTCAGCCTCAGTTTTTTTTCTTGAACATTTTACATTAGAGACAATATGATATGCACCATAGAGAAGCTGAGCAAAGTTTTTACTGAAGACAAATTTAACTCCAGCTCAACAGAAGAAAGTCAAAATAAAGGCTCAATGTTAACTATTAGCGTGGAGTTGCTCACTGTCCTTTGCACTTCTAAGTTGTCTTTCAAAAGTGTAAGATGGAAAGGAGGTTAGAGTATGGTCTCTGATTTGTAGTATTTGTTCTGAATTGTCTGGAATTCTATTTGTTTTCTTGCCTAGTGCTGACATGGGTTTGATGGATTTAAGTTTTTTGTCATTGTCCCCACAGGATTCTTTCCTTATCAGCTCTTGGCAGATTGCAACCATTTAAGGAAAAACTTCTTTACTGGCTATCAACCTTATTTTCATAGCTTCTTATTTCTCAGTGTCAAATGTATTGTGTACATTAAAAAAAGTTCAATCATCCATGCCAGGCCATTGTAAGTAGAATTGTATTTTAAGTGATACAGCAAATGAAATTGACCTTGGTAAGCCTCATGACTTGTCAGAAATATGGCCATTCCTTCAATTCGAGTTTTATTCACAGAACGCAAGAGCTAAGCTTAAAGAAGGTATACTGTTTTAAGAAGAGAAAGTCACAGCTATTTCTTAAGAACAATGGCATTTGTGCCCTCTTCAGTAGATGACAGTGTGCTATTTTATTTGAACAAAATGACTAGCGTCTACTATTCTTTCATGTTCTGCAGAGGTAATTTCCAAACTGTGGTCTCTTGCCAAGCAGCAGTGGCACTGGCAGGGTAGTCATTCAAAATTCAAAATTTCAGACCCCACCCCTCAAAACTACTGAATTCTGGGGTGGGGCCCAGCTGTCTGGTTGGTTTTAAACCAGGTGATTCTGGTGCACACTAAAGTTTGGGAACCACTAGGATAAGCTATAAACCAAAATTACAAGCAAGATGAGTTTACATACTTTAGTTACCATTTATTTTTGCAACCACCCTGGTTATAAAACTAGTTCTGTGAAAATAAATAAATAAATGGTCACTCAACATTGTGATTGAGAGAAAACTACTAAATTATACCTTGAAAATTCGAAGCCCATCAACTCCTAGTAGGTTGTAAAAAGTCCACCAAGGAAGAAAAAAAACTGAAATGAAATAATGCATAGAGTAAGCAGCAAAACAAAACCTTAAAAGGAGAACATCAAAAGTCAGAAAGAAAATAACTCCAGTCCCAAACCTTGCAATGTTCCCTTTGCCTCACTGATAGTCATAAACAATTCAGTCATTTAATACCCAACAAGACAAGCATTTGCTACACACACATTGGATATATTTTCTACAACATACTATATGAAAACAGTGAACCCATTCACCATTATAAAAAAGTACTCACTGCCCAGCAATTTCTTGAGAAAATATTGCTAGATTTGATAATATCTTTATAAATAAGACTGAAAAGTGGAGAGCTCTACGGAACTTAATAGTTGAGACAGAATCAGGGAATTGGAAAAGAAATGCATTTTGCCTTCAGTCATTTGCATAACAGCAGTTTTATTTTAAAAGGTTTCTTGCTGAAACTAGAAATGCTTTGAAGAGAAACAATAAGAATCTTCATTTTGAAATCAGCTAAGCAAGAGTGAAAATACTGCCAAGTGGACTGGCTGCATGTCAGGATCACTGTAAAAATAAGTTGTGGTGAACTCAGGCCTGAGTCAAAGGCTATGGCCACAAAGGGCAGGATTATGGCTGAGTGATGGAGATCACATTCCATTCCAATCACTATGAAAATAGAAAGCAAATATGAAGAATGAAACTTCAATGTGCATTGAAAATTATAAGCAGTTCAGTAAGAGAATGGAAGGTTTGGTCTTTCTTCAACAAGATATACAAAATAGTGTATCATTTTTCTTCAAATTCATGAATCATCAACTACGCATGCTACCAATTGCATCGTGATCATTTTATTGACCTGTGTAATTTTTAAAATTAAAATTAATACAAAGAATTAGAGTACATCACCTCATTCAAATATTTTTAAAATCTTACATCCTTATAATATCTACTTTACAATGATGGGTCCCCTTTATTATCAGATGGCCAAATCTTAAAACAAGATTTAATTTGGAGACAAACATAACACGACTTGCAAAGAACAATCTTGAACACATACAGCTTTTCAAATCCTCAAGCCTCACATGATATTGTTTCCTATAAATAATTAATAACAAATTAGCTATCTCAAAAAAGTTTTGTTCATCTAATGCTTAAGCAAACTTAAAAAACATATTCTGCTATTGGCCACTGCATTTCCTACTTATTGGTAATTTTCTCTATCAGTCTTTGAGATTAATTTTTATTGTTTTATGAAGGCAATTTAGATGTTGATCTAAATAAGAGAAAATATATCTAGAGCTCACTACTTAAACACATGCTATCAATTGCTATTTTTCTACTTGAAACCAAATTAATATAAATAATGCACCTATTCTACCCACTAAAGAATAACTTTCTATACAGTCTTGAAAATGATAATGTTTTAGAATCATTAAAAAATCTTACTGAAATACTATTCAGTTCAATTCCCATTTCACAGATAAGAAAACTGAATTTCAAATTATAGTAATATGTCCTGTATTACACAGTGGCCAAATTAAGAGCTGAAACAATTCCCAGTAGATTTTAAACTCTTTGGGGAAAGACACTTTATTTTTTTAACCCTTAAATTATACTGGGCATATATAGTCCAGTGCCTTGCATATATAGTTACCCTATAATTTTTTAATAAATGATCTCCAACTTAGGGCTTTTTTTCAAACAGAAAACTAGGAATGCTATAATAATATTCATAAAATCTTGAGTTATATTTCATCTCAATGAAATTTGAACTTCTCCAATATATAAGAATAATACCCTATTTGTTGTTTGGGTCTCAGAACACAGTATAGAAAATGTTTAATAAATGAAGTTGAATTAACGAATATATAAAACATAATATATCAATTAAAATAATATTGATGAATACATATTAGTATTAATGGATATTATATCAATCAACTAATAATTGAATTAATATGTAGAAATATATATTACATGTATAATATGTCATTTGTGTACATATATGTATATACATTTAAAAGAAAGCAAACTATGAAACTAGATGTGATTATCAGTTTCTCTGTCATCTTAGCAATACTATAGTACAGTTAATAAATCAAATAATCTAAGTGTTGCTGTGAAGGTATTTTGTAGATGTAGTTAACATTTATAATCAATTGACTTTAAGTAAAGAAGATTGCCCTAGATAATGTGGGTGGGCCTTGTCCAATCAGTTGAAGACCATAAGAGCAAAAGCTGAGGTTTCCCAGAGAACACGGATTTCTGCCTCTAAACTATAACATAGAAATTCTGCCTGCATTTCCAGACTACTGGCCTGCCTGATAGATTTTCAATTTGTCAGCCCCATGATCATATGAGCCTAGTCCTTAAAATAATACATTTTTTAAATAATGCATACATTCCTTGAAATAATACAAAAGAATACGTATATTCTATCGGTTCTGTTTCTCTGGAGAACCCTAAACATTATACCAGAATTATAAAATCAACTTGAGAAATACCTGATACCTCCTTCTACTAGTTTTATTAGAATATTATTGCATTCTTCACATTAGGTATTCTAAACTATTTTGCAATACACAATTAGAAAACATAAAATATATAATATTTTGCTGATTAGTTGGTGTATTTGTCCATTTTCACAATGCTGTAAATAACTTCCTGATAATGGGTAATTTACAAAGGAAAGAGATTTAACTGACTCACAGTTCTGCATGGCTGGGGAGGCCTCAGGAAACTTACAATCAAGGCATAAGGGGAAGCAGGCACTTCTTACATGGTGGCAGATGAGAGAGAGAGCATGCACAAGAAAAACTGCCACTTTTAAAACCATCAGATCTCCTGAGACTCACTCACTATCAGGAGAAAAGAATGGGGGAAACCACTCCCATAATTTAATCACCTCCCACCAGGATCCTCCCTTGACACAAAGGGATTACAATTCCAAATGAAATTTGGGTGGGGACACAGAGCCAAACCATATCAGTTGGCCAAAAATGTGTGTAACCTCACTCTTTCTTTTCTTTCTTTCAAACAAAACATTCATAATCATAGCCAGGATTTTTATTAGGTTATGATTTGTATGAAAATATTAGGGTCCTTTAACATGCAAACATGATTTTACATATTCCCACTTTTTGACCTGCTCTAAATATTTAATACCTTGAATATAATCACCTACTTTTCTGTGGTGTGGTTATAACATGTGACAGATATAATATTTTATAACATATTCCATTCCAAATTAAAACATTCATATTTACCTGAGTTACATTTTAAAAAACAAACAAAAAGAACAAATTTGTTTAAACCAGACATCTGCACTAGTTGTTTTACCCCCTGGTAAGTATGTGTTTTGAGAAAAGGCTTAACTGAAACCATCTGTTGATGACTCATTCACTCTTGAATCATCTAAAATATTTTTTCTCCAATTTATACCAATGCATAACACAATGTCTTTCAAAATTTCTGAACTACATTCTTTCATTAAAAACAGAAAGCCGAGCAAAGAAAAAAAAAAAAAGAATGGATTAGGTACAAGTCAGAGTTCTAAACACTAATTTTCACTTGTTTTTAAGTGAGATTCATATTAACCCACTTTTGTTTAAATATTGAGACTTTCTGTTGATTTCACTGTGATGAAAGCCTGGCTGATGCAGTAGACCATTATACTTGAAAAACTCCTCACATATATTTTAAAAGCTCATGCCTTGCAGTGTATACCTAAAATCCCACAATAAGTAGAGGATAGATAGATCTGCAAAACCAAAGCCCACTGTATTAATTTTCTGTTGCTGCACAACAAACTACCAGAGGCTTATTAGCAGCTTAAAACAACACACATTTTATTATCTTGCAGTTTCTGTGGTCAGGAGCATGGCTTAGCTGAGTACTTTTGCTCAGGGTCTCGTAAGGCTACTGTGGAGGTGTTGGGGGAATGTTTTTCATTTGGAATCTTGACTGGGGAAGAATCCACTTCCAAGCTCTTTCTTTTAGCAGAATTCATTTCCTTATGGCTTCATGACTGAGAGTCCCAGCATTTTGCTGGCTATCAACTCGAGGGGTTTTTCCTGTCCTAGAGACCACTCACAGTTCCTAAAAACCAACAGAAGTTCCTTGCCACATAGGCTCCCCCAAACTGATTGTTGACTTCATTGGGCCAGAAAGGTGAATCTCTATTTCATTTTGCCACGATACATCATACCTTACCTTATGTAAGGTAATGTAATCACAGAACTGACCTTCTATCACCTTATCATTTTTGCCATGTATATATGATATATATATGCATATTCATTTCTATTGGTTAGAAATAAGTTTTAAAAGTTTTAGTCTCACACCCATTCAAGGGGGAAGGTTTACACAGAGGCATGGACACCAGGAGATGGAAACCAATGCGATTTGCCTGAAGGTCTGTCTATCACACCCAAACTCAGCGTACATTTTTCCCAGGAGATTTAAAATATTCTCAGAGGCTTCAAGCATTCATATATTTATAATTTATTTTTACCAAATGCACAAATAAAAACACATGGAAAAAAATGTAGCTGATAATCTCATTGGTTCAAAGTGAAAATCCAAATACCCGATTCTACAATGGCTCTTTCTATTTGAGTCTTATTTGTGTATTTTTAATTCTTAGAAAATTATTATTATTTATACCATCGAAGTGTTATTCTCACTATACATCATAACCCAAATCAACTAATATTTTATAATTTAATTTATTAATTTAAACACTTATTAAATCTTACATCATTATCCCTGCCCTCTTGTGGTCTTTAGCTTTCCATTGGAAAAACAATTGTATATAAATTTAAATTTTAATATATACAAGTTAAAAACAAGTTATTCTTATTTTTTAAGAAATACAATTTGGGGTTCCTCCATTTATTAAAATTTGCAATATCCTTAGGTACACATAAAACTTCACAGTAGCATGCTATATTCTTAAATTCAAAACAATTATTATGAATCCTGATATTTATAAAGCAATCAACAGCCAAATCTCTGTGTGAGTCAGCAATGAAGTCATGTATGTAAGTGCTCATTACATTCCCTGAGGTTGACAGACAAAAATGTTTCCAAATGTTGCCAAATATCGCCTGGATGGATAGAGGGAGTAAAATGACCGTAACAGAGAAATAACGTCTTATAGAAAATTTAAATAATATTTAAGTTGTCAAAACCTTTCATGTACACTCAAAGGACAGTGGGTCAGAAAGAGACTCTGAAGAACAATTAATTTATTCACTGTTACCAGACAGGTTAATACTGTAATCTATCAAAATGAAGAAAGTGATACACTGTTGCAAATAATATTAGCACAAATTATCATTGGGTCTAAATTCTGTGTAATCAAAAGAATCTTGTTGGAGAATTACTATTTCTTTCCAGGTAACAGCATAACATGAAATAAGATGATTATATCCAACAATTGTTCACTTACTTATGATTCCTCAGTCTCTTTTCCTAAACAGTATCATTCTCTGCAGTGTTCCGCAAACTTCTATTATCCTTTCCAATTGTGAACGTTTGTTATTCATTTCCTTGCTGATTACTAGGTTCTAGGCACTCCTAGAAGCACTTTAGAGGAATCATCTCTTTTCATGTTCACAGTGAACCTAAGAGGTAGTTATTGTTATTAAACTCATTTTTCAGATTATGAAGCTGAAGCTCAGAAAGTTAATGGGAGTTGCCAAGGTCAGAGAGTACTCAGGTAGTCTGACTTTCCTTCCTGTGCCTTTGTCCTTTATTCTGTTCTACATGTCCACTTCATACTGAAATAAAATAACTCAATACATTACATTGTCATTATCTAACTCATGTTTAGAAAAATTACTTTTGTAATCCAGCGCCAGGTAACAAAAAGTGGAAGATATTTAAGAGATTATTTCAACAATCAAAGTATAATAAAATTAATGCATTTAACTACAATAATCACAAGAGACTAAGTACTAGAAGACTAATAAAAGGCAAATAAAAAATTTCAGAACATGATAAATTCTGGAAGAAAGGTATCTTGAAAAATTAATATCATTAGTTGGAGATACAGATAAACAAATAATATATGCAAAGAAGTCAGCTAAATAATTTACAAAGGTGATTATTTTCTATTAAAAAACACAAACACAGCATTTTTCTGATGGGGAAATTGAAAATTGAAGAGACTAAAGACACCTTATCAAAGTAAAAACTAGTAAATAGCAGAATCAGCACTCAAAGCCAGATTTGTTGGCTCCAAGTCATGCCATGATTTAACCACTAAAATATCCTGAGATACTATCCCAGAAGGGGAAGCAATCTGGGGAGACATAATGAACTTGGATTGGGACACCCACCTTCAATATATGTGAACACACAAACATAAACACAAACCCACCCCTACATACACATACTTAGAAACAATAATTTAATTCAAATTTTTATAGAGATCATTAGATTCATATACAGTTTTAAGATAGAATCTATGTACAGCATTCCCAGTTACCCCAAACTATAACATGTTTCAAAACTGTAGTATATTATAACCAAGATATTGATAAAACCCACCCATCCACCAAATTTTCCAGTTGTATCTGTATTTGTCTCTCCTGGGTGTATTTAGCTGTATACAATGTTGGACTCTCATAGGTTCATGTATCCACTAGCACAGAAGACTTTCATCACTAAATGTATCCCTCATGTTGCTCTTTTGTAACCATAACCGTTTCCTCAGATCCTCTAACCAATCCTTCACCCCTAAGAAACCACTAATCATTTTTCTACTTCCAAAATTCTAAAATAACATTTTTTAAATGTTACATAAATAAAATCATATAATATTATTATTTTAGGATTTTTTCCTCAGTATAACTTCCTAGAGATTAATCCAAATGATCGAATGAATAACACTTTCCTCCTTTTCATTGATAAGTAGTATATGGAATATAGTTACTACAATATTTCAAACATTCATCTATTAAAGGACACCTGGACTCCGTCTTCATTCAGTATAGGCAAAAGCTGTAAAGAGCCCATTTTGGTCTATATTGAATAGAGCTGCTATGAACATTTGTGCACAGGTTTTTATGTGAACATATGTTTCAATTTCTCTGGAATAAATTCTCAAGAGTACAATTGCTGGGTCATATGGTAATTGTATACTTTTATAAGAAACTGTCAAACTGTTTTCCATTGAATCTGTACTGTTTTACAGTCAAATAATCAATCTATGAGTGCTCCAGTTTCTCTACAACCTCACCAATATTAGGTGTTACCATTTTTTTTTCCATTGGCCATTCTGATATGTGTGTAGTAATATTTCATTGTGGGTTTAACTGGAATTTCTTTACGGGCTAGTGACATTGAATATATTTTCATACACTTATTCATCATCTGTGTATTCTCTTTGGTGTAACGTCCATGCTTTTTGTTCATTTTCTAAATAGATTTTTTTTGTTTTGTTTTTTGTTTTTGACATGGAGTCTCACTCTGCCACCCAGGCTGGAGTGCACTGGTGTGATCTAGACTCACTGCAACCTCCACCTCCGGGGTTCAAGCAATTCTCCTGCCTCAGCCTCCTGAGTAGCTGGGACTACAGGCATGTGCTACCATGCGTGGCTATTTTCTTTTTTTTTTTTCATTTGAGATGGGGTTTCACTGTGTTGCCCCAGGATGGTCTCAATCTCCTGACCTTGTGATCCGCCCACCTTGGCCTCCCAAAGTGCTGGGATTACAGGCATGAGCCACCGCACCCTCGTATAGATAGTAATTTTACGGCTGAGTTTTAAGTATTCTTTACATGGTTTAGATAATAGTCCTTTTCTTGTGTTGTTTGCAAATAGTCTTCCCACTCTGTAGTCTTTACATTTCCTTCACATGGCTTTTGCGGGGCAAACAATTTAATTTGTAGAGCAAAATTTTAATTTTCATGAAGTTCAATTTATCGATTATTTTTAATGAATTGTACTTTGATGTCAAATCTAAGAATTTTTTTAGTAGTACCATATTGCAAAATTTTTTCTTTCAATTTTTAAAAAAAGTATTATACTTTAAAATTTTAAACTTAATTGTATGACATCTATTCTGAGCTAAATTTCCCATAAGTGGTCCTCCCTTCTTGGCCTCCCAAAGTACTGGGTTTATAGGCATGAGCTACCACACCTGGCCTGTTTGTTGGTTGGTTGGTTGGTTGGTTGGTTTGTGAGATAGATATCCATAGATATCCAATTTATCCAGTAGCATTTGTAGAAAAGGTTATTCTCCATTAAATTGCTTTTGCATCTTTTTCAGAATCAACTGAGCATGTGTGGGTCTATTTGCAGGTGCTCTGTTCAGTTTCATTGATCTGTCTTCATTACCATAGCTATATGGTAATCTTTAATATCAGGTAGATTAAAGTCTCACTTTAATCTTCCTTCTTGGGATTCTTTTAGTTTTTCTAGAGCCTAGGCCTTTCTATGAAAATTTCAGAGTGAGCTTGGCAATCTCTATAGAATCACTTACTGGAGATTTGATAGGAAGTGCATTAAACATATATAAATGTGAAGAGAGTTGATACCTTTACTATATTGAGTTTTCGAGTTCAATGAGCATGGTATGTTTCTCCAAGTATTTAAATCATCTTTGACTGATTTCATTAGCATTTTTAATTTTCAGCATACAGATACTGTATTTTATTTTCTTCGGAGCAATTTTAAATATAATTGTTTTAAATTTTAGTTTTCATATTGTCATTGTTAGTATACAGAGATTGGCTTTTATACATTTATGTTGTGTCCTGCCACCTTCCTCCACGTACTTATTGGTCCCAGGAGTTTATTATAGATTCCTTAGGATTTTGTATGTAGATAATTATGCCATGTGTCAGTTTTTATTCTCTTATTTTGTTTTCACTTTCCAATCTTCATGTCTTGTATTTATTATTTTATTATTTTCTTTTCTTATTGCAGTGACTATAATTTTCAATACTATGTTTTATAAATGGTATAAAAGCAGAGGCATTTTGGTTTTTTGTGAATATTAGGGGGAAGATATTCAGTCATTTACTGTTAGGTATGATGTTGACTATCAGATCCTTTAGATGCTCTTTATTCAAGCCTAGGCTATTCTATATCCTCTATTCCTTGTTTTCTGAGGGATTTTTTATGAAAATGAATTAGGGTAGAATGGAAATAGGTTAATAAAAAGCATTTTCTGCAACAATTGATATAATCATGATGCTTTTCTTCATTAGTCTGTTAATAAGGTGGACTATGTTGACTGATTTTTAAAATATTAAACCAGGCTTGAATAACAAGAATATATCCTATGTAGTCATGTTGTATAATTATTTGTATATATTTTTGTATTCAGTGTGTTATTATTTTGTTACTTTTTTAGGTCTAAATTAATGAGGAATATTTATCTGTAATTTTCAATTTTTATATCATCTTTGTCTAGTTTTGGAATCAAAGTATCACTGACTTCATAAAATGAGTTGGAAGGCATTTCCACCTCTTGTATCTTCTTGAAGACAATTTGTAAAATTGGTGTTCATTACTCTTTTAAATATATAGTAGAATTCCTCAGTGAAATTAACTGAGCCAAGGTATTTCTTTTTGGGGAATTTTAAATTACAAATCAAATTAAATAATGGTTATGAGGCTACTATATCTATTTTACCAAGGTTTTTTATGCAGTTTTCAGATTTTGAGGAGTTGACCCATTCTATTTAAATAGTTAAATTTATGACAGTATAGATGTTTTTAGTATTCCTGGATTATTCTTTTAATGATAGAAGGGTCTGTAGTTGCATTGCTTGTTTTATACCTGATTTTGACAATTCATGCCTTTTTAATTTTTTTGTCAATATTGTTGGAATTTCATCAATTTGATTTCTTACTTCTAAGAATCAGCTTTTTGCCTTATTTATTCTATTATTTTTCTATTATCATTGCTGTGGACTTCTGCATTTATCTTTATTATTCCCTTCCTTATAGTTGTTTTAAGTTTATTTTTCTCTTTTTATTTCTTGACAAAGGAACTTACATTTTTGACTCTAGATTTTTCTTTGGTGTAAATGTAAGCATTAAGTGCCATAAATTTTCCTCCCACTTCTGTTTAACAGAACCCCACATGTTTTTATAAACTGCATTTTCATTTAGTTACCTATGTTTTTCAAAATTGCTTTGAAATCTCATCTTTGACCATGGATTATATAGAAATTTAATGTTTAATTTACATCTTTGTAGAGATTTTCTTGTTGTAGTTCTGCTTAACTTCTTGTTGGATTCCATTATACTGACCCTTTTATCATTATATGATATCCTTATTTCTCTTAAGTAATTTTCTTTGCTCCAAAGTCTACATTATTATATTTAATAATGGCACTCTAATTTTTAGCTAATATTTATAAGGTATTTCTTTTTCCACTCCTTTACTTTCAACCTACCCATGTCACTAAAAGTGAGATTCTTGTAATCTACATATTGTTGAATTGTAATTTTTTAATTCACTCTGCCAATCTCTCTTTTGGTTGGTATGTATAGACCACTTCCATTTAAAGTAATTATTGATACGTTAGAGCTTAGATCTACCATTTTATAATTATCTTTCTGTATTATTATTTTGCTCTCATTTATTTGTTATATTTATCTTTCTGTACATTACTTGAACTTATATTTAGGATTGTGGCATCATTAAATTACAGTCTTTTTCACTCTTTTTGCATAGTTCTTGTACTGATTGAGTGGCATTTTAAAATATACAAATATGACTTTTACAGTCTACTTGTATTAACATTTTACAACTTCAAGTGGACTATGACCACATTATTTCCATTTTTCTCTCTTTACTTTCCCAACTTTTAAATATCATTGTCTTATTTTTCATATAATGTTATAATTTTAGTTTTAATCATGAAAATGTTTTATAAAGCTTCTGAGGAAAAGAATACTCTATATTTTCTACCCATATTTCTTCTTTTTCTATTGTTCTTTTCCTTCTTGATGTTCCAGATGTTCTTATTATTGTTTTGTTTTAAGAGCCTTACTTAGCTCATCTTTATGGGTAAATCTGCTAATGTCAAATTTATTTATTTTTTTCTTCAGCTAATAATGCCTTTAAGCTTTATTCAAGAGAAACTTTTTTCTGTATACAGGATGCACAATTTCCACGGGTTTCTTTTTAGCATTTAAAATAGATTGTATCACTGCTTTCTGGTCTCCACAGTTTCAGACAAAAAATATACAGTTTTTAAAGCTGAAGTTCTTCTACAGGCAGTGTTTTGTTTTTCTCAGAGCACTTTCAGGATTATTTTCTATGTTTTTAGTTTTCAGGCATTTAATTAATATGTGTCTTAGGGTGAATTTGAGGGGTTTATCTTGTTCCCAATTTTCTGAGCTTCTTGAATCTATAGGTTTGTATCTTTCATCACTTTAGGGAGTTTTCAGCTATTATTTCTTCAAATATTCTGTCATCTCAGCTCTACTCATTTCTTCTGACATCCTGTAACATGAATGTTGATTTTTTTTATTATTATTATTGCCAGAGCTGCCAAAGACTTTCTTCATCTTTTTTCTGCTCATTTTCTCTGTTCAGATTGTGTCTCTGTCCATTTTCTGCTGCTATGACAGATGCCACAGACTGAGCAATTCATAAAGAAAATAACTTTATTCAGCTCATGATTATGAATGATGGAAAGCCCAATGCTGCCGGAATCTGCTAAGGATTATCCCATGGCAAAAAGAAGGGAGGGCAAAAAGTGCTTGTGAGAGAGAACTTGCATTTATAATAAAGCTACTCCCATGATAACTAACCTACTACCATGATAATTGCATTAATTCATTCATGATGGTAGAACCCTTGTAACCTAATCACCTGTTAAAGTCCCCACCTCTTAGTACTGTTACAATAAAGGCAGAGGTTGTTAAGGGGTCTTTGAGGGATTAGGTTTTCTACATTTCAGCTGAAGTGTTAAAATACTGAGTCAAAGTAGACTGCATAACATTAAGTATGTATATTGTAATTGCTAGAATAACAACAAAAATTATATACAGAATAGATTAATTAAAATGAAATACTACAAATTATTCAAGTAATCCAAAAGAGGCAGGAAAGGGAAAACAGGGGGAATAAACAGAAAATAAATAATAAAATTGTAGACCTAATCTAAGAATGTCTATAATTACATTGAAGGAAAAAATCTAAACACACCAATTAAAAGACAGGAATAGTAAGTTGGATAAAAACAAAAATCTAGTGGTATTCTGTCTACAAGTAACTCATCTAAAATATATTGATTTAAAATAAAACATTAACATGTCTATATTAATATCAGACAAATTAGACATCAAAACAAACCAAAAATGTTACAAGGCATTAAGAATTTTACATAATGCTAAAATGGCCAATTCAACAAGATGAAATAACCATTCTAAATGTGTATGAAATTGGTTGCAAAATATGCGAAGTAAAAATTGACCCAACTGAAAGGAAATATAACCAAATCAAAAATAGTAGTTGGCGATTTTAACATTCCTTTCTCAGTAATAAACAGAACTTCTGGTCAGAAAATCAGCAAGGATATAGAAGAATGAATAAGTGCAATCTAATGAACATTTACAGAACACTATGATCAACAACAGCAGGATATACAGACTTTTTGTATTAGTCTGTTCTCAGGCTGCTAATAAAGATATACCCAAGTCTGGGTAACTTATAAAGGAAAGAGGTTTAATTGACTCACAGTTCCAGACGGCTGGGGAGGCATCACAATCATTGCCGAATGTGAATGAGGAGCAAAGTCATCTATTACATGGCAGCAGGCAAGAGAGCTTGTGTAGGGAAACTCCTATTTATAATATTATCAGATCTCATAAGACTTATTCACGACCAAGAGAACAGTATGGAGGAAACCACCCCTGTAATTCAATTATCTCCACCTGACCCCACCCTTGACATGTGGGGATTATTACAATTCAATTTGAGATTTGGATGGGGACACAGCCAAACCATATCATTCTGCCCCTGGCCCCTCCCAAGTCCCATGTCCTCACATTTGAAACCCAATCATGCCTTCCTGACAGTCCCTCAATGTCTTAATTCATTCCAGCATTAACTCAAAAGTCCAAGTCTAAAGTTTCATCTGAGACAAGTCCTTTCCACCTATGAGCCTGTAAAATAAAAAATAAGTTAGTTACTTCCTAGATACAATGGGAGTACAGGTATTGGGTGAATACACCCTTTCCAAATGGGAGAAATTGGCCAAAATGAAGAGGTTACAGGCCACATGCAAGTCTGAAATCCAGCAGGGCAGTCAAATCTTAAAGCTCCAAAATGATCTCCTTTGACTCCATGTCTCACATCCAGGTTATTTTACCCAGGTAATGATGTTGCCAAAGGTGGGTTCCCATGGCCTTGGGCAGCTCCGCTCCTGTGGCTTTACAGGGTATATCCCCATACCTGGCTGTTTTCATGGGCTGGCATTGAGTGTATGAGGCTTTTCCAAGCACACGGTACAAACTGTCCATGATTCTGCCATTCTGGACTCTGCAGGATCATAGCCCTCTTCTCACAGCTCCACTAGACAGTGTCCCAGTGGGGACTCTGTGTTGGGGTTTCAACCCCACATTTCTCTTCCACGCTGCCCTAGCAGGGACCCACCCCTGCAGCAAACTTCTGCCTGGACACACAGGCATTTCCATACATCCTCTGACATCTATGGAGGTTCACAAACCTCAATTCTTGACTTCTGTTTACCCGCAGGCTCAACATCATGTGGAAGCTGCCAGGGTTTGGGGCTTGCATCCTCTGGAGCCACAGCCTGAGCTGTACCTTCGTCCCTTTTAGCTATGACTGAAGCATCTGGGACCTGGGCACTAAGTCCCCAGGCTACACACAGCAGGGAGCGCTGGGCTCGGCCCACAAAACCAATTTTTCCTCTTAGGCCTCTGGCTTGTGATATGAGGGGCTGCTGTGAAGGTCTCTGACATGCCCTGGAGACATTTTCCCGATTGGCTTGGTGATTAACATTCAGCTCCTCATTACTTATGCAAATTTCCACAGACAGCTTGAATTACTCCCCAGAAAATTTTTTTTTCTACTGCATCATCAGGCTGAAAATTTCCCAAACTTCTATGCTCTACCTCCTCTTGAACATGTTGCCACTTAGAAATTTCTTTCACCAGATACATTAAATCATCTCTCTCAAGTTCAAAGTTTCACAGATCTCTAGGGCAGGGGCAAAATGCCACCAGTCTGTGCTAAAACATAGCAAGAGTCACCTTTGCTCCAGTTCCCAACAAGTTCTTCATCTCCATCTGAGACCACCTCACCCTGGACCTTATTATTCATATCGCTATCAGCATTTTGTTCAAAGCCACTTAACAAGTCTCTAGGAAGTTCCAAACTTTCCCACATCCTCCTGTCTTCTTCTGAGCCCTCCAAACTGTTCCAACCTCTGCCTGTTACCCAGTTCCAAAGTCGCTTCCACATTTTCAGGTATCTTTACAGCAGTGCCTCACTACCTGATACCAATTTACTGGATTATTAGTGTAAACTGTATTAGACAATTAGTCTGTTCTCACACTGCCAATAAAGACCTATTCAAGGCTGGGTCATTTATAAAGGAAAGAGGCTTAATTGACTCACAGTTCCACATGGCTGGGGAGGTCTCACAACCATGGCAGAAGGCAAATGAGGAGCAAAGTCACCCATTACACGGTGGCAGGCAAGAGAGCTTGTGTAGGGGATCTCCCATTTATAAAACCATCAGGTCTCATGAGATTTATTCACTACCACGAGAACAATATGGGGAAAACCACCCCCATGAGTCAATTATCTCCACCTGGCCCTGCCTTTGACACATGTGGATTATTACAATTCAAGGTGAGATTTGGGTGGATACACAATCAAACCATATCACTTTTTAGATGTACACGTAATGTTCAACAAGGCAGGCTCTTTTGTGGGGGGGGAGGGTAATAAAACACACTTCAATAAATTTTAAAAAATGTAAATGATACTAATTGTTTTCTTTGAGCATAATTGAATTAAATAAGACAAATACAGAAAGAGGACAGGAAAATCTTCAAGTGTTTGGAAATTAAACAGCACATTTCTAAAGAATTTGCGGGTCAGAAAACAAGTCTCAAGAGAAAGTAGAAAATACTCAGAACTAAATGAAAGCAATATCAAAATATGTGGCTATAGCCAGTCTTAGAGAAAAAGCACTAGAACAGTGCTAAAGCAACAAAGTAGCTAAAGCAATGCTCAGAGGGAAATTTATAGATGCTCGGAACAGCAGAAAAATCTCAAAGCTAAATTTCTACCACAAGAAACCAAAGAAGAAGAAGAAGAAGAAGAAGAAGAAGAAGAAATAGAAAAAAATAAAAATGAACCCAAACAAACAGAAGGAAGGAAATAACTAAAGACAGGAGCAGAAAATCAGTGAAACTGAAAACAGGACATTAGCCTGTGCCTATAGTAAGATAATGTGAGAAGATAGTGAATCAGTGAAAGAATGAAAAAGAGTCATCAGAGAGGAAAAGAAAAATAAATTATCTCATTTGAATTTTAGGGAGAAATGTCAACAGGAATGGGCTAGACAGTAATATCAACACCACAAAGGTCAAGCAGGAGAATTAGGAGCATTGGTTAAACTGTAACAATGGGGGAGTTCGTTCCTGACTTTTAATGTAATAATAAAGTCAAGGTAGTATAGAAGTGTAATTTCAATTATCTCACTGCTAAAACATAAAGATATGGAAATAATTTTGTAACCACTCTTAAAGACAGTATGGGAGCTTGATCAGGTATCACAATTAAAGAAAAAAGCTTTAATATATTTTACAACTGCTTATGTTTGAAGATCTTACCAAAGAGCCACTGAGGAATAAATAGAAAATGACCAATTGTGAGGTGATAGATATGTGAATTATCCCGATTTGATCATTATACATTGTATACATGTATCAAAATATCACACTGTATCCATAAATATGTATGTACAATTATGTGTCAATTAAAATAATAAAAAAGTGTGAAGTTTTGAGGGCCAAGAAAAAAAGAAAATGAGTAATTATAAGATGAAAGAATGGAAGAAGTGATCAATGGAATAGTTCAGAAGGAATGCTGGATGAGATGAAGAATAGACTGGAAGAGGTGCCATTGTTGGGGAGGAGAGGAGGACGTTAAATTGGAAAAAGAATGACGGTGTATCCTTGGAAATTAGAAATCATGGACAAATCATGGAAAATGTTCAGAGAAATTTTGAAAGATATGGATAGTAACATTTTTAAAGTTTTAATTAACTTGTTTTATTATTTGTAAATTTGGAGGCAGTTAACTCACTCTAATAATGAGACAGAATGGCTGTAGGGTCTTCAGAAAAGTGAAAAACCTGCAATTAAGAAATGTTTGGGAATGTATTTATGTACTGAGATTTATTTACATATGAATAAAAAGCACTGTTTAGCGCAAAATATTCAAGTGAGATTAGGTAATATGATACTATGAATTTTACTGAAACAAGAAACATGACTAATGAATTTCTCCAATATCTAGTGACAAAACATCTCCACCATTTTCATGCTGTAAGAGGGAAAGGATTGGGGCCTGACGAGGGGATGGACTTTAAATATCAATTAATGGGCACATCAACTGTAAACATTTTTATGATACTAATTGAATTTTGGAAATAATAGATGTTTACTATTCTCAAGACCTAATCAATGACAAAAACATTTCTAATATTTCCCTCCATGTTTTAATCTGCCTTCTCAGTTACTTTGACTTCTCTGCTACTTTTTCCTAAACTTCTTTATTCATTCTTTTTGTGCTCTTGTTACTTCTTGTCTCTTTATTCTACCACTTCATTTCTCTTTTATTAGAGTGCACATTCTTCCTCACATTGTTTCTCCATCTTTAGCTCCACTAAAAATCCATCTTTTGACACTTATTTAAATAAATCAGTAAGTATTCATAATTTACAATATTGAAATCTCTAAGGAAAAAACTACTTATAAGATTATAATTTTAAAAATTAGACACTTTAATATAACAAACTAATCATATATTAATATAATTAGTTATATTTATATTAAATATGTCATATTGATAAATTAATACATATTTACACTCAAAATATATAATATTAATATGCAGTAATAATTTAAAATCTATACTGATATTTTTACTATAAATTGATCCAAAAACTAAAAGCATGTGAGTAGGACAAACCACCTAAATAATCAATAGAAATGATTCTCTTTTTCTCCATATTTGTTGTTATTTTAGCTGTCATTTTTATTATAATTTTTGTCCACATCCATTAAATTGTGGAACTTTGCAAAGACAAGATAAAAGCACTTTTCAGAAAGTTTTTATTCTCAATTATAAATGTTCCCACCAATGCAGTTATCAAAAAAGACAAAGAAATTCGACATCACATATGGCCAGAGAAAATTTCTTATGCCATAAAGTTCTACTATACTTTCTGAATTTTACTATCATCTGAGGCATGATGTGTCTTACGGCAATCAGCATCCATAGCAGAACAGTGTTAATGCTTTGATTCACATTTTCAGTTTAATTAAAATTCTTCCTTGTCTTCAGACGGTTTTCCTTTCTATCTGAAGTTAAATCCTTTTGTATCCTCTGCCTATGGGCCCAAAGTGATTTATGTAGCTGCACTGGTAGACAGTTCAAAAACATGCTTAGAATCATTTATTCGACTTTTGCTATTCTGATTTAAATACATGCTTCCAACATCAAGAGCAATAACTTCCTGAGGCCTATGGGAAAATTGTACAAGTCTTCTTTCTAGTTTCCTCAGTAATTGTGCCAGTACCAGACCTACTAAAATGCATAGTATAACGACCCCATTAAATGGGCATATCTAAGCTTTTATAGAACCATTATAACTAGAAATGACATCAAACAAAGCTGAAAAGCATACACTGTGAAACATATTCTTCATAGAAATGGGAGCTCAGGCTTATAAAAACTTCTTGAAACTCTTGCACTTAAGTTCAATTGAAATGAGGATATGAATATAAAATATTTTAGTTTATAATTTTTAGCCTATTATGTTGGTAATAGAGACAATTGCAAAAATATCTGCAATTACAAGGCAAAATTTGAATGGATAACAAGAGAACAGAATGAAATAGTATTTTCTTCATAATTCTATGTGCAAAGGAGATGTTTATCAAAGTCATTAATTTTGGAATCAAGTATTTCTCTGTGTTCAAAAAATTAACATTAAAAATGGTCAAAACATTGATTTAAATTGTTTAATGTTAAATATCTTATGTGTTAATTTTACCTACTATAAAATCTAAAACTTTTATATTAAAAATGTATTTCTCAGTGGTAAAAAATGTTGTAGTTAATTATAGGGTCTTCAACAAACACACACACAAATAAATATTTCTAAAGAAACACCCTATAAATTATATAGTAAGACTCTAATGTCAATTTCTATATTTATTTATTGAACCCATATAAGATTTCCCCTGTGCCAAACTCCCTTCTAAGCAACTTATAAATACTGATTAAAAGTTCATAACAATCTTGTATGTTACGCCCTATTAAGGTGAGAATTTTACATGAGAAAGGTGATGCACAAAGGATTAAATAACTTGTCCTAGGTAGGAAGTGTTGGAGCCTGATTGTGAAAAGGGGGTGAGAAGGGAAGCAAATCTTAAAATCGCTAAGTCCATGTAGTTTCTTTTAGCAGTAGCTGTCATCCACTACTATAAAGAAAGCAAATTAAGGGTCACAATTCTCTACATACTATCCACAGTTATCTGTTTTGGATAATTAGACATTATCATCAAAGTTCCTAATAACCACTGCTTTGTTTTTCCTTCCTCCCCTTTTCCATCACCAGTTTTTTTCTTTTCTCTTTTATTTTGTTTTTCAATATTGAATGAGCACCAGGCATTTTAACAAGACTTGAAGGATAAAAAGCACAAGGTCTCACAATGTTTAAAACAGATAAGATGCACAGATAGGTATATAGATCAATATAAGCTGTACATGGGTGCTCACATCATATCAAGGAGCACATAGGATAGAAAACCTTACCCAGTCTGGATGTAGGACCTTACTAGTGTTCTTCAAAGTGACAACTAAACTGGGGTTAGGTAAAAGCGTTGGTAAGTGGATGCCAAAGGTGTAGATAGAAAAGAGCAAATTATCAAAATGTGAAGGAATATGAACAGTTCTGGGAACTGCAAACCATGTGGTATAAAACCAGAAAGTTAAGCAGGAATTAGAAAATTAAGAGACGAATTAAGAAAGTATTATTTTATGCTCAACATTACAAGACTGAAGGATTTTAATTACAGAAATATCTAAACTCTGTGTGGTAAAAATATCATTTTATAAAATATACCAGGTGTTTTCTTGTTGAGTTGTTTGAATTATTTGTAGATTCTGGATATCAGCCCTTTGTCAGATGCATAGTTTGCAAATATTTTTTCCCATTCTGTAGGTTTTCTGTTTACTCTGTTGATTGTTGCTTTTGCTGTGCTTTTTAGTATTTTGTTTTTGTTGCATTTGCTTCTGAGTACTTGGACATAAATTCTTTGCTTAGGTCAACGTCCAGAAGAGATTTTCCTGGGTTTCCTTCTAGGATTTTTATAGTTTCAGGTCTTATGTGTAAGTCTTTAATTCACCTTGTTAATTTTTGTATAAGGTAAGAGATAGGGGTCCAGTTTCATTCTTCTGCATAAGGCTATCCAGTTTTTCCAGCACCATTTATTGAATAGGGTGTCCTTTCCCCAGTGTATATTTTTGTTGACTTTGTCAAAGGTTAGTTGGCTGTAGGTATGTGGCTTTTTCTAGGTTCTCTATTCTGTTCCATCAATCTGTATGTCTATTTTGTATACCAATATAATGCTGTTTTGACTACTATATCCTTTTAGTGTAATTTGAAGTCAGGTAGTGTGATACTTGAAGCTTTTTACTTTTTGCTTAGGATTGCTTTGGCTATTTGGGCTCTTTTTTGGTTCCACATAAATTTTAGCATTGCTCTTTTCTAATTCTGTAAAAAATGACATTGATAACATAATTGGGATTTTGTTCAATCTGTAGATTTCTTTGGGCAGTATAATCATTTTAATGATATTGATTCTTTCATGAGAAAGGTATTTTTCCATTTGTTTGTGTTAGGTACAATATCTTTCATAAGCATTTTGTAGTTTTCCTTATAGAGATCTTCACCTACTTGATTAAATGTATTCCTAGGTATTTTATATTTTTGTAGCTAATATAAATGGGATTGCGTTCTGATTTGGTTCTTACTTTGATCAATATTGGTGTATAGAAACGCTACTAATTTTTTGCCTTTTTATTTAGTATCCTGAAACTTTGCCAAAGTCATTCATCAATTCTAGGAGTCCTTTGGGAGAAGTGTTTAAGGTTTTCTTCATATAAGACTATTTGACTTCCTTTTTTTTCAATTTGGATTCCATTTATTTATTTCTCTTGCCTGATTGTTTTAGCTAGGACTACCAGAACCATGTAGAATAGGAATGGTGAAAGTGGGCTTCCTTGTCTTGTTCCAGTTCCTAGGAGGAAGATTTTAATTTCATCCTGTGGATCTGTAATATATGGCTTGTATTATTTTCAGGTATGTTCCTTTGATACCTTGTTTGTTGAGGGTTTTTATCATGAAGGGGTGGTGAATTTTATTGAATGTTTTTTCTGAATCTATTGAGATAACTATATGGTTTGTAATCCTGTTTATGTGGTGAATCACATTGATTTGTGTATGTTGAACCATCCTTGCATCTCTGGAATAAAACCCACTTAATTGTGGTGTCTTATATGTTTGATATGCTGTTGAATTGGGCTTGCTAATATTTTGTAAAGGAGTTTTGCATCTATATTCATCAGCTTCATTGGCCTGTAGCTTTATTTTTTGTTGTTGTATTCTTATCTGTCTTTGAAAACAGGGTGACCCTGGCTTTGTAGAATGAGTTAGGAAGGAAGGATTCTCCTTGATTTTTTGGAACAGTTTCAGTAGGATTGGTAACAATTATTCTTTGTATGTCCAGCATAATTCAGTTCTAAATTTGTCTGTTCCTGCATGTTTTTTTGGAGTGATTTTTTTATGACAGATTCAATTTCACTACTTGTTATTAGTCTGTTTGTGATTTTTTTATTTCCTCTTGGTCCAATATTGGGAGGTTGTACGTTTCCAGGAATGTATACATTTCCTCCAGGTTTTCTAGTCTGTGTACATAGAGATGCTTATAGTAGTAGTCTCTGTACTTCTGAGATATCAGTTGTAATGTCACCTTTATCAATTCTGATTGTGCTTATTTGAATCTTCTCAGTTTTTCTTGGTTAATGTAGCTGGCAGTCTACCAATTTTATTTATCTTTTCAAAGCAATAATTTCTCATTTTGTTGATCTTTTATATATATATTTTTGGTCACAATTCTGTTTAGTTCTGTACTGATATTTGTAATTTTTTTTTTCTTCTGCTACCTTTGGGTTTGGTTTCTTCTTGCTTTTCTGGTTCCTTAAGGTACAATGTTAAGTTGTTAATTTGAGTTTTTTTGTTTTTTTTTTTTTTCATTTGGTCACCCAGACTGGAGTGCAGTGGCACGATTTAGGCACACTGCCACCTCTGCCTTCTAGGTTAAAGCAATTCTCATGCCTCAGCTACCCAAGTACCTGGGACTACCAGCATGCGCCACCATGCATGGCTGATTTTTACATTTTTAGTAGAGATGGGGTTTCACCATGTTGGCCAGGCTGCTCTCAAACTCCTGACCTCAAGTGATCTGCCTGCCCCGGCCTCCCAAAGTGCTAGGATTACAGACATGAGCTGCACCCGGCCTGATCTATCTTTTTAATGTGGTCATTTATTGCTATAAACCTCCCTCTCAGCACTGCTTTTGCTGTATCCCAGAGGTTTTGGTATGTTGTGCCTGTATTTTCATTCTTTCAAAAAACTTTTAAATTTCTGTCATAATTTAATCATTTATCTAAAGATCATTCAGAAGCAAGTTTTTTATTTGTATAGTTTTGAGAGCTCCTCTTTGTATTGATTTCTGGTTTTATTCCACTGTGGTCTGAGAAGATGCTTGATATTATTTCGATTTTTAAAAATTTATTGACTTGCCTTGTGACCTAGCATATGGGCAACCAGAATTATGTGAATTTCAGTTGCTTCACATTGTCATCAATATCTGGCATCATCAGTCTTATTCATTCTAGCTATTCATATTGGTATGTAGTGTTATCTATTTGTGATTTTAGTTTTCATTTACCAAAACAAGATTAGACAGGTTTTTATGAACTTATGATTTTTTGGATATTCTTTCTTAAAATAAATACTCAGTTTATTTGTCCATATTTTCTACTGAGTTGTGTCTTTTGTATTGGTTTGCTGGAGTTACTGATATATACTTTGGATACATGGTATTTTGGCCAGCATGCACTACAGATATCTTTTTCCACTTTTTGTTTGCTTGTTTGTTTCTGGAGAAAGAGTCTCGCTGTGTCACCCAGGCTGGAATGCAGTGGCATGATCTTGGCTCAGTGCAATGCCACCTCCCAGGTTCAAGTAATTCTTGGGCCTCAGCCTCCCGAGTAGCTGGGATTACAGGTACACCCTCCCACACCCAGCTAATTTTTTTATTTTTAGTAGAAATGGGGTTTTGCCATGTTGCCCAGGCTGGTCTTAAACTCCTAAGTGCAAATGATCTGCCCACCTTGACCTTCCAAAGTGCTGGGATTACAAGTCTGAGGCACCATGCCTGGCCATCTTTTCCCACTTTCTTAATTTTGTTCATTCCACTTTATTAATACTGCCTTCTGATGTAAAGAAAACCTTAATTTAACATAACTGAATTCATAATAATTTTCTTGATTTTTAGTGCTTTATTTAGTTTTAGGAATTATTCTCAACCATAATTGCATGATGATATTATCATGTCTTATCTTCCAGAAGCATTTTGCTTTGCCTTTTTTATTTAGATTTACAAAATTCCTGGAATTGACTTTTGTTTATGGTGTGAGGTGAGGGATCAAGTTTCACTTTGTCCAAATGAATTTTGAACTGATCTAGTACCATTTACTAAAAATAGCATCTTATTACTTTTGCATTGCTATTTTGGTTATAATTGAATCCTCCCATTGACTTCTGACTTCCATTGTTTATTTAAAAACCAAGTACTACTCTAATTTTTATTGCTTAAACAATATGTTTTTGTCTGCCTGCCCTAAAAAGTGTCTCTTTATCTTTGATTTTACCAGTATTACTATAATGTATCTGCATAGGCTTTTTTGTATTGTCATGATGTAATTGTGTCTTTCATCACTGTTGAGGAATTTTTAGCTATTATCTCTTCAAATGTTGTTTCTGTCTCATTCTATCTCTCCTCTGGTTCAGGATAAATGTATATTTGAGCACCTCATTGTATAATGTAGGTTTCTCACTTTCTTGTCTGTATTATTTACTGCTTTTTCTCTCTGTACTTCTTTCTGAATATTTTGTTCTGACCTAAATTCTAGTTTATTAACTCTTGCCTCGTTTGTTTCTCACTTCCTGTTAAATACAACCATTTCATTTTAATGAAAATTATTTTATTTCAAAATTTTGTTTTTATATAAATTGTCTATGCTGTGGTTTTCTGTAATTTCTATTTTTTGCTAAATACTTAATCTTGTTTTTATGACCTTGAAAAATAGACACTTAGCAGTTATAAAGTCTAGTAGAAAGTCCTGATATTTCAGGCCCCTCTAGGTCTGTTGTTAATTTTTATTGGTGTTTTTTTTTCTGTTTCTCTTGTATGTTGACATCTCTTTTCATGTACCCGGTTATTTTATATTGTATGCCAGAATTTCCATTTGAAAGTTAGTTAAAATATTCTAGGCATAAGATAATCCCATTTTTTTTCCCAGAAGAGATTGCTTTTGGCTAGAAAGGGATACTAGAAATCTTGGGTCATCTTTGCTCAACATCAGAGTGGAGCTTCTAGTCATCCGAATTGAAAATTTGAAGAGTTTGCACATCAACTTCCTACCTTTGCTTCCTTGTATGTTCCAATCTTGTATCTTGATCACACTGGAACTGGGATACTTTCAAATTTCCTATGTAGGCCTTCAGGCTCCTGCCTGTTTCTTCTTATACTGGCTAACACCCCCAAGTGAAAAGTGGCCCCAGAAATCTAGTGAATTTTTCTTTGTTTTTCTCCTCTAACATTTTCATCAAATCTTTCTTCATTAGTTTATTGCATCCCCAAGGCTTTGATAACAAATGAAGCAAATATTTTCAAATTTTTCTGGTTACCCAATAAGAAAAATCATGTGACTTTCCACATCTGCCATCATTGGAAGTGACAAAACTCTAGATACTTGGGTCATTGTTATCATTTGTCTATCTTCCTTGGTATGCTCTATTCTTCGTTGTGGAGTAATAAATATAGACAGCCCTCTTGGTGGATTCTTCCCCTGAAAATGCTCTTGTTTTTCTGTGTCAGTTGGCCAGGTTGTGCATTTTCCAAATGTCTATGCTCTCTTTTCCTTTTAATTATAATTTCAACTTTAAGTCATTCCTTTGCTCTTTCATCTGAGCTCAGAATGTTAGAAGGAGCCAGGCCACCTCTTGAAGACTGCTTCTTTTTTTTTTTTTTTTTGGCCAGATACTTTAAGTCATCAGTCTTAAGTTCAGCCTTCCATGAAGTCCTAGGACATGGACACAGTGCAGCCAGTTTCTTTGCTAGGGGGTGACAAGAGTGATCTTTGCTCTAGTTCCCAATAAATTTCTCATTTTTATCTGAAGCTTTGGCAATGTGGCCTTCATTGTCCGTATTTCTTTCAGCATTTTGGTTACAAACACTTAACCCGTCTGTAAGAAATTCCAAACTTTCCCTTGTCTCCCTGTCTTCTTCTGAGCCCTCCAAATTCTTCCGGCCTCTGTGTATTACCCAGTTCCAAAGCCATTTCCACATTTTAGGTATCTTTATAGCAACATCCCATTCCTTGGTACCAATTTTCTGTATTAGTCTGATTTTCATTGCATTAAAGGAATATCTGAGACTGGGTGATTTTTAAAGAAAAAATGTTTATTTGGCTTATGGTTTTGCAGGCTGTACAAGCATAGCACCCAGCATCTATCAAGCTTCTGGCAAGGCCTCAGGAAGCAAGAGAGACAGAGGGAAGTTGGTTGCAGAGTCTTTTTTAACAACCAGCTCTTACATAAACATATTACAATGAAAAGGGACACCAAGCTATTCATGAGTGACCTACCCCCATGAACCAAACAACTCTTACCAGGCCCTGTATTCAACATTAGGGATTCCATTTCAACATGAGATTTGGAGAGGAGAAACATCCAAAGTATATCACAAGTATACCTCAGAAATGCTGCAGGTTCAGTTTTCAGCCACCACAATAAAGCAAATATTGCAATAAAGCAATTCACACCAATTTTTTTGGCCTTCTAATACATTTAAAATTACATTTTTACTATACTATGGTCAAGTATGCAATAGCTTTATGTCTAAAAAACAATGTACATACTTTAAAAATATTTTATTGCTAAAAAATACTAACAATCATCTGAGCCTTTAGTGAGTCATAATCTTTTTGCTGGTGGAGGGTCTTTCCTTGATGTTAATGGCTGCTGACTGATAGGGTACTGGTTGCTAAAAGTTGGGAAGGCCATGGAAATTTCATAAAATAAGACACTGTAGTTTGCCACATCAATTGACTCTTTCAGAAAAACTTTCTCTGTAGCATGTGATACTGTTTGATAGAATTTTATGCATAGAACTTCTTTCAAAACTGGAGCAAATCCTTTCAAATCCTCCTGCTGCTTTATCAACTAAGTTTACGTAATATTCTAAATCCTTTGTTATTTCAATAATGTTCACAACATATTCATCATGAGTAGACTTCAAGAAACTACTTTTTATTCATTTGTAAGAAGTAATTTCTCATGCATTAAACTTTTATCATGAGATTGCAGCAATTCAGTCACATCTTCAAGCTCCACTTCTAATTCTAGTTCTCCTGCTATTTCTACCACATCTGTGATTATATCTTCCACTAAAGTTATGAACACTAAAGTCATGAATCCCTCAGGCATTCATGAGCATTGGAATCAACTTCTAAACTCCTATTAATGTTGATATTTTGACCTCCTCCCATGAATCATGAATGCTTTTTTTGTTTTTTTGTTGTTTGTTGTTGTTGTTGTTGTTGTTGTTGAGACTGAGTCTCGCTCTGTTGCCCAGGCTGGAGTGCAGTGGCACAATCTTGGCTCATTGCAACCTCCACCTCTCAAGTACAAGCTACTCCTGTGCCTCAGCCTCCCAAGTAGCTAGAATTACAGGCATGCACCACCACACGTGGCTAATTTTTTGTGTGTTTTTAGTAGAAATGGTGTTTCACCATGTTGGCCAGGCTGGTCTCGAACTCCTGGGCTCAAACAATCCATCCACCTTGACCTCCCAAAGTGCTGGGATTACAAGTGTGCACCACCATGCCTGGCCAATCATGAATGCTCTTAATGGCATTTAGAATGGCGAATTATTTTCAGAATACTTTTCCAAGATCCATCAGAGGAATCACTATCTAGGGCAGCTATAGCCTTACAAAATGTATTTCTTTAATAATAAGTCTTGAAAGTCAAAATTACTTTTTGATCCTTGAGCTGCAGAATGAAAATTATGTAGGAGGCATGAAAACAGCATTAATCTTTTTATACATCTCCATCAGAGCTCTTGGGTGTTCAAGTACATTGTCAATGTGCAGTAATATTTTTAAAACAGTAATAATTTTTTAAATATCTTTTTTTCTGAGCTTAAATCTCAACAGTAGGCTTAAAGTATTCAGTACATCATACTGTAAACAGATGTCTTTTAATCCAGGTTTAATTTTTCAATTTACTGAGCAATAAAGAGAGTAGATTTAGCATAATTCTTAAAGACTCTTAAGATTTTTCAGAATGGTAAATGAGCACTGGCTTCAAGTTAAAGTCAATAGCTGCATTAGCTCGCCAAAAAGAGAACCAGTCTGTCCTTTGAAGCTTTGAAGCTAAGCATTGACTTCTCTTCTCTAGCTATAAAAGTTCTTGATGGCATCTTCTTCCTATAAAGACTGTTTCATCTGCACTTAAAAATCCATTGTTTGGGGTAGTCATTTTCATCAGTGATCTTAGCTAGATCTTCTGGATAGCTTTCTATAGCTCCTCAGTCAGCACTTGCTGCTTCATCTTGCATTTTTATGTTGTGGAGATGGCTTCTTTCCTTAGCCCCCATGAACCAACCTCTGGTAGCTTCAAACTTTTCTTCTGCAGCTTCTCTATGTCTCTCAGCCTTTATGGAATTGAAGAGAGTTAGGGCTTTGCTCTGTATTAGACTTTGGCTTAAGGAAATGTCATGGCTGGTTTGATCTTCTATCCAGACTACTCAAACTTACTCCATATCAGCAGTAAGGCTGTTTCATTTTCTTACTATTTGTGTCTTCACTGAAGTAGCACTTTTAATTTCCTTGTAGAACTCTTCCCTTGTATTCACAGTTTGGTAAGCTGTTTGGCACAACAGACCTACCTTTATGCCTATCTCAGCTCTTGACATGCCTTCCTCACTAAGCTTAAACATTTCTACCTTTTGATTTAAAGTGAGACATGTGTAACTCTTCCTTTCACTTAAACACTTAGATGTCACTATAGGGTTATTAATTGGCCTAATTTTAATATTACTGTGTCTCATGAGATAGGGAAGCCTGAGAAGAGGTGGAGAGACAGGGGAATGGCAGGTCATTGGATAAGTCAGAACATACATAGCATTTCTCAATTAAGTTTGTTGTCTTATACTGGTGTAGTTCATGGCACTCTAAAACAATTACAATAGTAACATCAAAGATCACTGATCACAGATCACCATTAGAGACATCATATTGAACAATCTGAAATATTTGCAAGAATTACCCACTGTGACAAAGAGATATGAAGTGAGCACATATTGGAAAACGGCCCCCACACATTTGCTTGACTCAGGACTGCCACAGACCTGCAATTTATTTAAAATTCAATATCTTCAGGGCCAGGTGCAATGGCTCATGCCTGTAATCCCAGCACTTTGGGAGGCTGAGGCGGGCAGATCACCCGAGGTCAGGAGTTCAAAACGAGCCTGGCCAATGTGGTGAAATCCTGTCTCTACAAAAATACAAAAATTAGCTGGGCATGATGGTGGATACCTGTAATCCCAGCTACTCGGGAGGCTGAGATAGGGGAACAAATTGAACCTGGGAGGTGGAGGTTGCAGTGAGTTGAGATTGTGCCATTGCACTCCAGCCTGGGCAATTCAGCGAGACTCTGTCTCAAAAAAAAACAAAAAAAAACAAAAAAACTAAAACAAAAAAAATACAAACAAAAAAAAACCATACAAACAAAAAAAATCTTCAAAGCTCAATAAGATGAAGGACAGTAAAACAAGGTATGCCTGCATCTTTAAAACTAAAAATCCCTCCTAAGTAAATTTATCTTTTTTTAAAAAAATGACAATCTTAATTAAATAGTAATATGGACTCAGAATCATCACTTTCTTTTTATTGTTTTTGTTTTTTTTTTATTTTTTTAAGATGGAGTCTCGCTCTGTGGCCCAGGCTGGAATGCAGTGGCGCTATCTTGGCTCACTGCAAGCTCTGCCTCCCGGATTCACACCATTCTCCTGCCTCAGCCTCCCAGGTAGCTGGGACTACAGGCGCCCACCACCACGCCCAGGTAATTTTTGTGTATTTTTAGTAGAGACGGGGTTTCACCGTGTTAGCCAGGATGGTCTCCATCTCCTGACCTCGTGATCTGCTCACCTCGGCCTCCCAAAGTGCTGGGATCACAGGCATGAGCCACCACGCCCGGCCAGAATTATCACTTTCTTATGACCCATTTATTCTCTCCACTGTTATAACATTGGTTTTGATCTGCATACATTCAACACGTATTTTATTGAGTACCTAATATTAGCCACTCTACTCAAAGTGATTTCTTGGAGATAGCTGGATTTCTATACCTAATTGGTAATTCAAAATCCATTGATAATACTAAACCCCTATAAAACTTTGCTTGGTCCTGTACTTACCTACAGTTTTGCCTTTTGGGTAACTTTTCATTTTAATTTGCTGTAAGTGAATAATTATTTGTTCAACTTTCCTGTTTCCTTAATTTTGTTTCTCTTGCTGTGTTTCTAATATATACCTTTCTTTTTAGTTTTTCAGGCAAAATAATTATTAGTTGATTTTGGAAGAAGTCTTTGATTTTCTCCAAAATGCCCTGCAAAGTGTTCTTTTTCTATAATAATTATCAAGAAAACACCTGCATAGTACTTTGCATTTCTGCCTCTCTAGTAAGAGCCATTTGTTTATGTTCACTGTCTGTAATAAGTAAGACTCCAACTGTTCTGTTGAAATGGGAAACAATATTTTAGATTCCATTTTGGAGGTGGCAGTTTCTTTCTGATTAGATTCTAAGCTGAAAATAAATTGTCCCAGTTTCTAAATTACCTCCTCCCAGAAGAAGGGAATGGTCTAAGGTCTATTATTATTTAATCATTTTATGCACAGTATTTTATAAAGCTGTAATTCTAAACATGGTTGATTTTCAGAATTTTTTTAAATTAAAAATTATATGTGATGTTATCTAGACAGATTGAATCAAAATTCCTGAGGATAGAACCTAGAAACTTTTTGTAAGTTTGTTTAGTTTGGCTTTTAACCTCCTTTGATAACTGTGATAATCAGCCAGGACTGATTTTCTGCAATAGATTGTTTATTTCCCTCAAATCAAATCTTTTAGATAAAAAACTTAACACTAGTTTTTACGTATGACTTATTGCATCCTGATATATCTCTATTTAAATTCATATGAGTACTAATTACCATTTCCAGCCACCTAGGATTACAATATCAAACCTAAGCATTTTTGTCTCTCTTGTCTTTGCTTCCTCAATTTCCACCCAGTCTCCAGAATATACTGATTTTATGTCCACCACGTTTTTATCATATGCCTTCTCCTTTACATTTTCACTGTGACTATCCTAATTTAACATTTTTCTTGCTAAGACTTTTTTAAGAGCCTATTTTCCCTGATTCCAAGTTTAAGGCCACATAATCCATCCAATAACTTAATAACAAAACCACAGCTTGACCTTAGCATGACTTTTTTCAAACCTTTTTTTCTTTTTTTTTTTTTTTAGACAAGGTATCACTCTGTTGCCTGGGCTGGAGTGCAGTGGTGCAATCATAGCTCACTGAAGCCCCAAACTCCTGGGTTCAAGTGATCCTCCCACCTGAGCCTCCTGAGTAGCTAGGAATACAAGCATGCACCACCACACCTGGCTAATGAAACATTTTTAATAGCTCTTAAATTTCTACAATGCAAGGTGGTTATTCATAGGCTGGCATTCAAAACCTGCTATAATCTGGTCACGGTGTATCCTTTTAGCTTTGTCTCTCTTCTTCCCCTTCATGTACTGCTCCTTAGTCTACCTATTCACCCAACATGTTCTGCACTTTTTAGCTTTTATGTATTTTTACATGGCATCCCTTTCATCTGATTTGTCTTCCTCTGTCTCTATTTGTTCAAATATCATTTATATTTCAAAGTAAAGTTTAAATGTCACCTTCTTCAAATTTTACTTGGTCTCACATGGTAACAGGGATCTACTTGTCTTCACAACATTATTACCTTATGTTACAGATATTTTGCATGGAGCTTTTCTATACTCATTGCTTGTAAGCTCACTGAAAGTTGAAACTGTAAATTATTCAGCTTTCCGTGCTTCTGAATGCCTAGCATATTGCCTTGCCCACGATGAAGGCACAGTAATTTATGGAATAAATTGGTGGGTCTATGAATAAATAGTTAGACTGAGAATCATAAAACAACAGTAATATGACTATCCAGGCATCAGTAAAATTTGCTTACAAGATTCTAATGGGAGAAATTGAGAATAGGAGAGCAACAAACACATTAATATCATCTAAGAATTATTTCACTTCGATGAGATGAATAAGTGATTATGTTTGCCTGCGTTTCTGCTTCCGTTGTCTCAAGGGCATAACCTCATAATGCATATACACTGACCGAGTAAATAGAAAGCTCTTTTTAGTGATTATTTAAAATTAATTTATTTCAATCGCAATACTTAGGTGAATGAATTCAAATGTAAAAGATTGTATAGGAATAGGCAAGATATATTGTTTTTGTTTTTAAATCAGTCTCATCTGGAAAAGAATAACTTTTTAAAATTTGGAAACTAATCTTTATATATTTGTTGAATAATTTCTGAAAGCAAATTGCCTAATACATTTGTGGCTGTCTCAGAAAAAAAATAGGCACTTAAATCTATACTCATTATCTAGACTACTAGGAATTTTCTCTTTAAAATAGCTTTTTTTATTGAAGAAAAATGCTCCCGAGAAGTCATTTGAATTATTTGCCTCTTCCGGAGTTTGTTTTCAACTAAAATTAAGTTATGCCTTTGGCCTTTAGAGGTCATAACATACATACCTTGTTCAAATACAAAATTTGGGGCCTATGTATTTTCAAAATATCACTAGTTTGTGTTTAAAATAGCTGAGCTGAGAAGTTGGCAAAATTTGAAAATGTAATATTTCTGTTTCCAATAAAGAATAACAATTTCTATGAGATTATCTTCAGATAATATGGCATCTCTTTAACAATGTAATTTATTTCTTAATTATATGACTTAAAAATATTTTCAAATATTAGCTTAAATGAATGAATAACCTCTAAGGGTGTTCACAGAATTTATGTTCAGGTGATGACTAAATGAGCAACTGATTAAAATTGTGGAATTTTTACTCAGTGTTCTTTCCTTCCTCCTCACGCTCCTCTTCATGTTGAGCCTCCTTGCACTTTAATTATGCTAACTTTCATTTGTCCTTAGGCAGGTAGAAACTGCTAATGGACTACGTTCAATCTCTTCTGATGATTGTTGTTTCTTCCCATGGTGTTGAGTTTGTTTATATATTTGGTTTTGGAAATATTATAATGGCCCTTAAAAAACACCTATTGATTTCTGTGAAAGATCTGGCCTCTTTATCATACTAAAGTCAGTTTCTTTCATGAAAAAAAATTAAGTCCCTCTATGGTACTTCTTTTACTTCCACGTAAAAATGTTCCTGAAACTATTAAAAAAAAAAAGGTATGTAACAAAGACATCAGTCCTTAGCAAAAAGTGGAGTGTTGTGATTTTATTTGTATTTATTTCTGGCAATTTACCTGTAGCTGTATATATGCCTAGCATGACCCACATAATTATACAGAGTGATAGTTTCATGTGCCTAAGAACAAGTAAAACTGAAACTGGAAAGATTGATAATTTGACTTCACTGAAACTGAAAAAATAGATAATTTTATTAATTTTTTGTAGGAGTCAAGTTAGCCCAAATTCTTTTATTGATGAGAAACAAAAGTTGCCTTGAAATGGATTAAACATTATTAAAGGAGATATGGGATTATGTAGCTACAGTCTAAGGTAGACATGGCTTTAAGCAGGGATGAATCCAGAGACATGGAGGATGTTATTAGGACTCCAGCTCCGTCCATTCTTCTCTTTCCTATGATTAGGGCTATTTCAAAAAGGTTGTTGCGACTCTAAGCTCACATCCTCCTTATGACTTGTGATCCTAGGGAAGATAGTGGATGTTTTCTGATAGCACCAGTAACCCAATGACAACTCTGACTGAGTCAGCCAAAGCTGCAAGGTCTCCTGTAGCAATGTAGATGATGTGATTGACAGATTTATCAAGTGAGGAAGGAATGGTTCTCAAAATAATATCATGCAGATATAGCCATAAGCACCTAATATTGACTATAGTTCGGAGCTGATCAGTAACTCTAAAGGGTGCATTGATAAACATCTGAGAAAAAGAGTCACCAAAAATGGACCATCTGGTAAAACACTACTCTAAAACATAACAAAAAGATGAATTGGAAAGAAGAATATATAACAATCAGATTTTGCCAGTAAGTGTTAAATTGCTTTCTTCTCTAAGACAGAACATCCACTTTCCTTGGAAAATAAGTCTTTTTGACCAGGATATCATTTATATTCTTTTCTCTCAACATTATCTTTGAGAAATAATGGCCTTCACATATATATTCTCTTGCATCCATAGTAACATCTAACGGGAGGGGCTTAATATGTTTCTTCCACTTAGTTTTTCTTTTTCTTTTTTATTCAACTAATCTATCACTAATGTGATTTGCTCCTATATTTTAAATATGTCTTGAGTACATTAGCATCATCCTACCTGTCACCACTTTAATTTAGGCTGTCAACATAGGGTGCTATTGAAAATATCTCTAGAGTAGTTTCAGTGTCTACATTCTTTTTGTTGCTTCTTTCACATGGTCACAAGGATAGCAGTGCTAAACAGCATATCAAGTTAATGGCCTTCTGTAAGTCTGTAGTTATGTAGATGTCTCCCATCAACTACATTCATGATATGGCACAGCCTCAGTTGTAATAACTTCCCTGACCTTTTCTCATCATGCTCTGACAATGTAGAAGTACTTGTACTTCCCTTAATATGTTATGGTATTAGGTAGCTTCATGTATTGATTAATTCAATACAAAGTTCCAGACTTTTCCTTCTGCTCTACTTTTCTGTACACATTGCTATTATTGCATGTACACAGGGTACTTTATCTGTTTACAGGTCTCTCTCTCATTTCCCGCATTAGGCTCTGTTTTCTTAAAAGCCTAATCTGTGACCTTACTACTCAAAGTGGTCTTCCACACCAGGAATATTAGGATCACCTAGCAGCTATTTAAAAATGAACAATTTTATGTGTTCCACAAGGCCTGATGAATCAGAATAAGAATTTTAACAAAACCTTTAGGTGATTCAAGTACATTTTAAATTTTGAAGAGCACTGATTTATGAAATATTCTTTTTACTTTGATACCATGTGTCTAGCAAATAGGCTTTTATAACTGGTATACAGTACATGATTTACACATTTTGGATTTAATTGAGTTGAAAACACTTATTCACATCATAAGTTTTTTGAGCCTCAAGTTAAAATAATTGTACTTTTTTTTTAGAAATATACTGGACTCTTGCCTCCTGAGAAGATAAAGACCCTATAATAATGCTATATTCCCAGACTAGATATTTAATACTAGGTTATTTCTCTTCCTTCAAACTTCAGAAAATGTCTTCCTGTTTGCTCTAAGCTCACCAGTGTAACCATGAAAGAGAAAATAGTGGCGAGCAAAATTTATTAGTGAGAGTTTAAGCTGAAGGGCAGACCATTGAAATGGATTGACTGCATTATTGGCCTTCAATTTTACAGCATTTGGTCAGACCCTTCCACAGTGACCCTGGGTTCGGGCACATGATTGCTTTAGCCAGTGGAATAGCCACACATTTGATGGGGGCAGAGGCTTATACATTTCTATTTCCTCTCTCTTGCCCTTTATCTACATTATTAGAATCATGAGCAGAGCCCAGTAGGCCACGTGTAGCAGTGAAAGCCCAGACACTACAGAAGGCTTGGCCAAGATCAGCTAAAAGCCAACTTTTAACTGAGGAGCCCCTGACTATAGACACATACATGAGCCCAATCCATCCCTGCTAAAGTCAGCAGAATTATCAAACCAACACATACAACCACGATCAAAATGATTTAATTTTAGGCTGAGTGCGATGGCTCACACCTGTAATAGCAGCACTTTGGGAGGACGAGGTGAGTGGATCCCTTGAACCCAGGATTTTGAGACCACCCTGGACAACATGGAAGAACTCTATCTCTATAAAACAATTTTAAAAAATCAGCTGGTATGGTGGCAAGCGCCTGCAGTCTCAGCTACTCTTAAGGCTGAGGTGGGAGAATCTCTTGAACCTGGGAGCTGGAAGTTGCAGTGAGCTGAGATTGTGCTACTGCACTCCAGCCTGCGCAACAGAGAGAGACCTTGTCTCAAAAAAATAAAAATAAAAAAAGATTATGCAACATTACTGAGGCAATAGATAACGGCTACAGTAATGGAATGTAGTTCAAGTATCTCCTTAGTTTCAGGTATGGTTCATTCATAACTCAAATTATTTTTTATAGTGCTTAAGCTTAAAAATGAATAAAAAGTGTTCTCTACACTAAAGTACCTTAATTATAAATATTAAGATAAAAACATTTTGTTTACAGATATAATAAAACCACTTTTAAAAGTCTTTGAATCTCTGTAGGAACCTGATTAAGCATTCTTTATTTTTTTCCTGTTGTGCTATCCTCAACTATGGGTTCAGAAGTTGAGATAAGATTGATTACCTAAATATTAGGTAAGAGTTACTGAAAATAATATATATGTTGACATGTATATATAACATAGATATAGTAGGAAATGTATTAAAATGTAAATAAGGCAGTTATATAAATAGATAATTCTAAGAAAGGAAGGACAGATTTTTTGCAATGTAAATTTACCTTTTATTAGGTTATTATAATTTTAATGAGGAAGGGTATTCTTTAGATTATACTTTTGCTAATTAATTCTATCTTTTGAAAGATTTGAATCATTTTTATTACAAAAAATAGTTTGAAAAATCTAGCAATGTGCTTGTGTCATAATGACGTCTAGGCGACCAGTAGCTGAGAGGTATTTACACATGGATGAGGAAACAATGAAAGTTACTTTTCCTAACATTATATATTAATTCAATCAAAATATTTCAATCACCCATTGGCCAAGGTCTGGATATGGGGGTGATAAAGCAGAGAAAGTAGCAGCTGAGAGTTGTCAGCCAACACTCACAGCAGCTGTGGAATGGGCTTATTGCTTGGAAAGGAGATCCAGGCAGATTGAGAGGTGGGGTCTCAGTTTTCCTGATTATCAGATATCTGCTTTTATTATTCCTGCATATTTTTCCACTTATTCTGCTTTTATGCATTCAAGTCTTCCTTGCTTTGGTGCTTCAGCTGCTTGCGACTTTTTTCTTCCGAGATATAAACCAAACTATGATTGTTGTCCAGTCTACATAAGTGGAATGCCATTTGAATGCCATAAGAATGAACTAAATGAGTCACGTAGTGAATTTTAAGTAAATTCTATCACAATGCTTAAGAACAATTGGTGAAGCCTGGTGCAGTGGTTCACACCTGTAATCCCGGCACTTTGGGAGGCCTAGCGGGCGGATCACGAGGTCAGATCGAGACAATCTTGGCTAACACAGTGAAACCCTGTCTCTACTAAAAATTCAAAAAATTAGCCAGGCGTGGTGGCGTGCGCCTGTAGTCCCAGCTACTTGGGAGGCTGAGGCAGGAGAATCGCTTGAACCCAGGAGATGGAGGCTGCAGTGAGACGAGATCCTGCCACCACACTCCAGCCTGGGCAACAGAGCAAGACTCCATCTCAAAAAAAAAGAACAATTGGTAATGTTTTCTATCAATCTTCAGGTTATTCCATAGTATATGCTATATGTTGTATGCATTTATTAGTTTCAGCTCTGCCTGAGTCTACTGTTTACTCCAAATTTTTCCAAAATTCAACTACAGCAACTGTATCCTTAATCAGCAAGTGGACTTACATTTTTTGTTTTTAATAATGAAAGTAAATTTTATTAATGTAGCTTATATATTTTTAATTATAGAACTACAAAAGATGTTTTGTCTTCTAGATATTGTAACTGCCACTTTTGTAAAATAAAAATAATTGCGCTTTGTGTTTTAATGCATTTTCTAGTACATCTGTGATCATTCAAAAAAGAAACATGAAAGTACTTTTTACGCTGTTTCTTTTCTCTATATCCCTATAAACTAAAATTTCCATACTGCAGGAAGCTCGCTAATATTTTGAAGGAAAAATGTGTAGTGGGGTGTGTTACGTGTAAGAGAGTAGAAGTCTCAATATTACATTAAGCAAAATCTAGAAGAAATCTATTACTTATGAAAAGACAATGACACAAAAACAAAATGTCACTTATTATAATTTTATGAAGTGACTATAGATTAATCCATCTTCAATCCAAATCACAGAGGCATACCATTAAAAAAGATGCACAATTATATAAAATTAAATATTTCACAAATGTTGTTTTTTGTCAATACAATGGAAGACTTACATTGTCCAGTTTCAATTTTAAGAAAGTTTCTAAAAGAATCAACATTTTATATGCTATTTTTAGGAATGTAATCGTATTTTAATATTTTTATGTAGTGTTCAGAAATCCCTAATATTCTGCCTACTTTAATAGTTGAGGAAAACCAATACATTTATTAACCTACCTACAGAAGTCACACAAAGTTGTAAGGAAGACAAAGTATTCTAAGAGCAGAAAGTGACAGAATTCTCAGACAATCGCTCTGCCTCTGTTTAAGAATTTACCTACTTCATTACAGATTAGAAAATGCTATATCAGCCAGATGAGTTGGATAGTATAATTATCTTTTGATATGAAGAAAACTAACAATCTGGAGAAATTAAGAACAAATGTCAACCATCCAACCAAACAAAACACAAACAAAGATTAAAACACCAAAAAAGCTTAAATATTAGAGTTTACTTCCCAGTGTCTTTTTTATTCATGTTATGAATTTTCATGTACAAATTGAGTTATTTTTATGTGCAGCCTATGTAATATGCTGATAATATAAACCAATTTAGAGCAGCATGGTTGCATCCCTGTTCCATAATGAAAAAAAGATAAATTGTATGTGACTCCTTTCTTTTAAATGTTTATGCAACTATTGAAACCATGTAAGAAATTTTGCAGTATATTGGTAATTTGGATTCCAAGTAAATAGCATATAGTTAAATGTAGAAAATATTAGCAAAATCGTTTGTCATTAATAAGAATCTACTGAAAGAAATCAGCAGGATAAATCTACAAAATAAAATTTTACCTTTTGATAGAAATTAAACAAGTTTGACTCCCTCAAGAAGGGCTTTTTTTGAAGGAAATGGCAAATGCACTAGCAGGCTGAGGAAATATCAAGACCCAAAATAATGTTTTCAGACTTAAAATCTTTATGGAATTTTCTTCATAATAAGATTAACAGAATATAAAGCCTCATGGGACCTTTTGAGTCATAATAAGCATCTTAAGAGGAGAAAAAGTTATTTTCATGTCATTATTTTTTGGTAAATTACATAATGTGTACATATTAGTGATCAAAATTACTATGCATGTCTCAGGAATACAAATAACTTATACAAATAAATCCCAATACTTGATTATGTCAAAAGGAAAGGTGAAAAATATTGTATTATGTCTTCAAGATAACAATTAAGGGACTCATGGATCAGAGATGGGAAAAAAGCTTTTAAAAGCTAGCCACAGAAGTTATCCTGCCAAGGATTCCCTATTATCCAAGCTTGGAGTCATGAGTTAGAGTAATTGCGCCAGTAGAGATAGATACAGAATATAAATTGTAGTCCAAGATTTCTATTCCAAGAAATATCCAGAGCAGAAATCAAAAACATCTCAAGAGATTTTAAAGTTTTTCAGCAGAGCATCTGGTATCATTAAGTGGTCAGAGATGTTTCAAGCTGGATGGTTCTTACAACTTTACTGTTGGGTTCACTTGCTTCAGGATGGATGGAATCCCTGTCCTTAATGCTTCTTGTCTAGACTTAAATATGTAAGGAAGTATCCTGGCAATTCCAGTCAAAATCTTAGGTCTTCGAAAAGAGATATACAAAAACACTTCAGGAGTTTGTCAAACATCAATCTGTTCTTATCCTGCATAAAGCAAAATGTTCCAGTTATTAAATTCCTTTATTTAAGAAGTCTTCATTCTTTGATATTTACATCTTTCCAAAGAACAGAAAGTCAACTTAAGAATTAATATTTCTGGCTGGGCGCAGTGGCTCAGGCCTGTAATCCCAGCACTTTGGGAGGCGGAGGCGGGCGGATCACGAGGTCAGGAGATCGAGACCATCCTGGCTAACACAGTGAAACCCCGTCTCTACTAAAATACAAAAAATTAGGCAGGCATGGTGGCGGGCGCCTGTAGGCCCAGTAGTTCAGGAGGCTGAACGCGGGAGGCGGAGCTTGCAGTGAGGCAAGATCGCGCCACTGCACTCCAGCCTGGGCGAGAGCAAGGCTCCAACTCAAAAAATAATAATAATAATTATTATTATTATTATTAATATTTCTTAGTTGACTAAACTGCTTTATTGCAGGATTATGCCAATTAGCCCACTCCATATCAGACAGGTAGATTTAGAAGCTGAAATGTAAAGCTGACACCTGTGATCAGATACGTAGAGTAATAACCACTATACATCTGACCTAGAATTAGCAAGAGTAAGTTTATAAGGTATAACTTTACACATCATTAAAAACAGAGAATAATGCTGAGTTGGAAATAATGTAATAGTTAACAGAGATAGATGGATGTTTAAATAGACTTTATTCTAGCAGTTAAGAGCTCTTGTGTTGTGTCACAGAGTACTGGTTTTACACCCATTTGCATAGTTAGTATTAACCATGAGACCCTGAACAACATAGTATCTCTAAGCCTTAAATTCTTCATATTTAAAATTAAGATTAACGATTGAGACTGCCTCACAGAATTACTGAGAACGTTAAATAAATTCCTGCAATTTAACATTTTGCACAATGCCTGGTGTCTTATAGTTTCACACAAAAATAAAAATATGCTTGATATTATATGTTGTCATTTAGTGAGTGATTACTATAATCTAGACAAAGTATTTTGTAATTTGTTGAATTATTTCAAATCATTACAACAACACAGAAAGTTGATATCATTAGCCCGAGGATACAGATGTGGAAACTTCAGGCTCAGAAAGTGTTTTATTGCTCAAAGTTAGATGGTTAATAAATAGTTGAAGAGCAACAGAACTTTTATTTGTCTGATTATTTTTTGTTCCACAGATAAAATTGGAAACAAGGTTTTCTAATAGTAAATTATACCTCAATTATAAGTGAACTTAATTGTGTGTGACCTTTATAGGTCTTGTTGGAACAGGTACCTAGTTGTGGATCTGGTGCCTCCTAAAGTACCAAATCCTCTCACTTCCGAATATTACTCCTATTTACATGATATAATAACTATTGCGTCACAAAATGTAATTCCTCTAAATTAAACACTTTTTCCACAAGTACATCTCTTTTAGAATATAAATGTCAACAGAGTGATATGAATTCTAAGGAATTAAGAATGACTCCTATTGTATGTTTTTGATTATTTTTAAAAATTTATTTTCTTGTGTTCTTAGTTTCCAGGGAAGATTAATAACAATGCAATAATACTGGGAGCATAAAATATTGGAGAAAGCACAAATAACTTAGCTCACCAAAAATAAATTTCTAGTTTTGTAATGATACTCAGTTTCTAACTTGTCTTTTTAAAGAACTTTATACTACTCAGAATCCCTATTGAGGCTCTCTTTCTTAAATATTCTTAATTTTATCATGGGTTCAGTCAGAAAAATCTTATATTCAACCTGTTGCAGTAGCATTGAAGTCAATCAATCCTATGTATCTCAATAAAACTTTCTATAAAATTTTTTATAAAAGAAATGTGAAGGATGTTTTTAAAGAATGTTCTAGAAAACACCAGATTTATCATCTCAAGTAGTCATAGCCCATAGTATCATTTTACCTATTACAATGCATGTTTAAATTTGTGTTGATAGAGGTAAAATCCAAATCTTTTTTTTTTCTTTTTCTTTTTTTTTTTTTTTTTGAGATGGGGTTTCTCTCTGTTGCCCAAGCTGGAGTGCAGTGGTAGGATCTCAGTTCACTGCAAGCTCCACCTCCCGGGTTCATGCCATTCTCCTGCCTCAGCCTCCTGAGTAGCTGGGAATACAGGCGCCCACCACCACCCGTGGCTAATATTTTTGTATTTTTAGTAGAGACAGGGTTACACCGCGTTAGGCAGGTTGGTCCCAATCACCTGACCTCCTGATCCACCCGCCTTGGCCTCCCAAAGTGCTGGGATTACAGGTGTGAGCCACCATGCCTGGCCAATCCAAGTCTTGAAACAAGGAATTTAGATATAGAAAATAATTTTCTGAGAATGTTACAGCAATAATCTTGAAACAATACAAGTCTTGAAACAAGGAATTTAGATATAGAAAAGAATTTTCTGAGAATGTTATAGCAATAACGGCATAAGGCATGTTTTCAGTACGGTTACCAGATAATCAAAATATAAATTCAAAAGTGAGAGTCACAGTCAGATATTTTGATAAAACTTAAAAAAAAAATTTCCTTGTAAGATAATTAAAGATTTTCACTTGGAGCTTATTACAATCATAATGGTTCCAATAAAAAAGTTTCTAATCATACAGAGATGAAATTATACAAAAATAAATAAATCTGAAGGTTTATATCACTAAGAAATGGAGGCAGATTTTTAAAACTCCAGAATCTCAACAAGAGAATTATTTTGACTAGTTTAAGGATTCAAAGCTTAGCTGTTGAAGCATTCCTTTACTTCCTTATACCTTCTTATCACAAATGAAACTGAGGCAGGAATCTCTACAATGAAAACAATAAAACGTCAATACAAGAGATTGAAGAGGACACAAAATTGGAAAGGTATTCCCATGCCCATGGATTGGAAAAAATGATCATGTTAAAATAACCATACTACTCAAAAAAATCCACAGATTTAATGTAATCTCTATCAAAATACCAATGACGTTTTTCACCGAAATAGAAAAAAAAAATCCTAAAATTTGTATATCCCTACCAAAAAAAAAAAAAAAACAAATAAAGCAATTCTGAACAAAATAACAAAGCTGACATCATCATACTATCTGACTTCAAAATATACTACCAAGCTATAGTAACCAAGTCAGCAAGGTATTCCCTTAAAAATAGACACATAGACATATGGAACAGAAAAAAAGAATCCAGAAATAAATCTCTGCATTTACAGTCAACTCATTTTCAACAAAGTTCCCAAGAACATACACTGGAGAAAGGACAGTCTTTCCAATAAAGTATGCTGGGGAAACTGGATATCCATATGCAACATAATAAAACTAGACTCCTATCTCTCAATAGATACAAAAACCAAATCAAAACAGATTAAAGACCTAAATGTAAGACCTGAAGCTATAAAACTTCTGGAAGATAGCATTGGGGAAATGCTTTAGGACATTGGCCTGGGAAAAAAATTAGGGATTATGACCTCAAAAGCACAGGCAACAAAATCAAAACTAGACAGATGAGATTACATTAAGCTAAAAAACAACTTCTGCACAGAAAAGGAAAGAATGTGCAGAGTGAAAGGATAACCTATAAAATGGGGCAAAATATTTTCAAATTGTCCATCTGACACAGATTAATAACCAGAATATAAAAGGAACTCAACTCAAGAGCAGATAATATAATAATAATCTGATTTTTTCTAACAATCTGGATAGATATTTCTCAAAAGGAGACATATGAATGACCTATGGGTATATGAAAAATGCTCAACATCACAAATCATTAGAAAAATGAAAATTAAAATCACAATGAGAATCACCTCACAATCTGTTAGCATGGCTATATAAAAAAGACTAAAGAGGCTGGGCAGGCATGGTGGCTCTCGTCTGTAATCCCAGCATGCTAGGACGCTGGAAGCGGTGGGGGGAACACCTGAGGTCAGGAGTTCGAGACCAGCCTGGCTAACATGGTGAAACCCCATTTCTACTAAAAATACAAAAAATTAGCCAGAAGTGGAGGTGTGCACCTGTAATCTCAGCTACTCAGAAGGTTGAGGCAGGAGAATCGCTTGAACTAGCAGGCAGAAGTTGCAGTGAGCTAAGATAGTGCCATTGCACTCCAGCTTGGGCAACAAGAGCGAAACTCCATTTAGAAAAAAAAAAAAAGACTAAAGATAACAAGTGTAGTCACGGATGTAGAGAAAAAGGAACACTTTTACACTATTTATTGGAATGTCAATTAGTACAACCATTATGGAAAACACTATGGAGGTTCCTCAAAAAACTAAAAATAGAATTACCATATGATCCAGCAATACCACTTCTGGTTTTTACCCAAATGATTTGAAATCAGTTTCTCAAAGATATGTCTGTAGTCACATGTTCTTTCGAGCACTATTCACAATAATTAGTAAATGGAATCTACCAGAGTGGATGTCAACAAATGAATGGATAAAGAAAATGCAGTGTATGTGCACAATGGAATAGTATTCGGCTATAAATACAAAAAATAAAATAAAATTCGCAGATCTGGCAAGATGGCCAAATAGGAACACTTCTGGTCTGCAGCTCCAAGTGAGACCAATGCAGAAGGTGGGTGATTTCTGCATTTCCAACTGAGATACCCAGTTTATGTCACTGGGACTGGTTAGACAGTGTGTGCAGCCCACGGAGGGCAAGCAGAAGCAGGGTGGGGTGTTGCCTCACCCAGGAAGTGCAAGGGGCCAGGGACCTCCCTCCCTTAGCCAAGGGAAGCCATGAGGGACTGTGCTATCTGACTCAGATACTATACTTTTCCCACAGTTTTTGCAACCTGTAGACCAGAAGATTTCCTTGTGTGCTGTACCACCACAGCCCTGGGTTTCAAGCACAAGACTGGACGGCTGTTTGGGCAGACACAGAGCTGACTGCAGGAGTTTGTTTTTTTTTTTTTTTTTTTTTCATACCCTAGTGGTGCCTGGAACCCCAGCAAGACAGAACCATTCATTCCCCTGGAAAGGGGGCTGAAGCCAGGGAGCCACGGGGTCTTGTTCAGTGAGTCCTACACCCACAGAGCCCAGCAAGCTAAGATCCACTGGCTTGAAATTCTTGCTGCCAGCACAGCAGTCTGAAGTTGACGTGGGACACTGGAGCTTGGCGCAGGGAGGGGTGTCCAACATTACTGAGGCTTGAGTAGGCAGTTTTCCCCTCACAGTGTAAACAAAGCCCCTGGGAAGTTTGGACTGGGTGGAGCCCACTGCAGCATGGCAAAGCCGCTGTAGTCAGGCTGCCTCTCTAGATTCCTCCTCTCTGGGCAGGGTATCTCTAAAAGAAAGGCAGCAGCACCAGCCAGGGGCTTATAGATAAAACTCTCATCTCCCTGGGACAGAGCACCTGGGGGAAAGAATGGCTGTTGGTGCAGCTTCAGCAGACTTAAACGTTCCTGCCTGCTGGCTCTGAAGAGAGTAGCAGATCTCCCAGCACAGAGCTCAAGCTCTGCCAAGGGACAGACTGCCACCTCAAGTGGCTCCATGATCCCAGTGCCTCCTGACTGGGAGATACCTCCCAACAGAGGTCGACAGACATCTCATACAGGAGAGCTCTAGCTAGCATCAGGGTGGTGCCCCTCTGGGATGAAGCTTCCAGAGGAAGGAGCAGGCAGCAATACTTGCTGTTCTGCAGCCTCTGCTGGTAATGCCCAGGCAAAAAGAGTCTGGAGTGGACCTCCGGCAAACTCCTGCAGACTTTCAGAAAAGAGGCCTAACTGTTAGAAGGAAAACTAACAAACAGAAAGCAATAACATCAACGTCAACAAAAAGGATGCCCACGCAAAAACCCCATCCAAAGGTCATCAGCGTCAAAGATCAAAAGTAGATAAATCCATGAAGATGAGGCAAAACCAGTGCAGAAATGCTGAAAAATCCAAAACCTAGAATACCTCTTCTCCTCCAAAGGATCACAACTCTTTGCCAGCAAGGGCACAAAACTGGACAGAGAATGAGTTTGATGAATTGACAGAAGAAGGTGGGTAATAACAAACTACTACAAGCCAAAGAGCATGTTCTAACCCAATGCAAGGAAGCTAAGAACCTGATAAAAGGTTACAGGAACTGCTAACTAGAATAACCAATTTAGAGAGAAACATAAATGACCTGACGGAGCTGAAAAACACAGCAAAAGAACTTTGTGAAGCATACACAAGTATCAATAGCCGAATCATTCAAACGGAAGAAAGGATATATGAGATTAAAGATCAACTTAATGAAATAAACCATGAAGACAAGATTAGAAAAAAATAAAAGGAACAAACAAAGCCTCCAAGAAATAAGAGACTATGTGAAAAGATAAAATCTACAATCGACTGGTGTTCCTGAAGTAATGGAGAGAATGGAACCAAGTTGGAAAACAGACTTCAGGAAATTATCCAGGAGAACTTCCCCAAAATAGCAAGATAGGCCAACACTCAAATTCAGGAAATACAGAGAATACCACAAAGATACTCCTCAGGAAGAGCAACCCCAAGACACGTAATTGTCAGATTCACCAAGGTTGAAACAAAGGAAAAAATGTTAAGAGTAGCCAGAGAGACAGGTCAGATTACCTACAAAGAGAAGTCCATCAAGCTAATAGTGGATATCTCTGCAGAAGTCCTACAAGCCAGAAGATAGTGGGGGCCAATATTCAACATTCTTAAAGAAAAGAATTTTCAAACCAGAATTTCATATCCAGCCAAACTAACCTTCATAAGCGCAGGAGAAAGAAAATCCTTTACAGAACAAGGAAATGCTGAAGGATTTTGTCACCACCAGGCCTGTCTTGCAAGATCTCCTGAAGGAAGCACCAAATATGGAAAGGAAAAACCGGTACCAGCCACTGCAAAACCTACCAAAATATAAAGACCAACGACATTATGAAGAAACAGCATCAACTAATGTGCAAAAAAATCAACTAGCATCATGACAACAGGATCAAATTCACACACAACTATATTAACCTTAAATGTAAATTGGCTAAATGCCCCAATTAAAAGACACAGACTGGCAAATTGGCTAAAGAGTCAAGACCTGACCTATCGGTGTGCTGTACTCAGGAGACGCAACTCATGTGCAAAGACACACAGAGGCTCAAAATAAAGGGATGGAGTAATATTTACCAAGCAAATGGAAAGCAAAAAAAAAGCAGGGGTTGCAATCCTAGTCTCTGCTAAAACAGACATTAAACCAACAAAGATCAAAAAAGACAAAGAAGGGCATTACATAATGGTAAAGGGATCAATGCAACAAGAAGAGCTAACTATCCTAAATATATATGCACCCAATACAGGAAGACCCAGATTCATAAAGCAAATTCTTAGAGACCTACAAAGAGACTTAGACCCCCACACAATAATAGTGGGAGACTTTCACACTGCACTGTCAATATTAGATGATCAACAAGACAGAAAATTAACAAGGACATCCAGGACATGAACTCACCTCTGGACAAAACAGACCTAATAGACATCTACAGATCACCCCAAATCAACAGAATATACATTCTTCGCAGCACCACATAGCACTTATTCTAAAATTGACTACATTATTGGGAGTAAAACGCTCCTCAGCAAATGCAAAAGAATGTAAATCATAACAAACAGTCTCTCAGACCACAGTGCAATCAAGTTAGAACTCAGGATTAAGAAATTCACTCAAAACCACATAACTACGTGGAAACTGAACAACTTGCTCCTGACTGACTACTGAGTAAATAATGAAATTAAGGCAGAAATAAGTAAGTTATTTGAAACCAATAAGAACAAGGAGACAATGTACCAGAATCTGTGGGACACAGCTAAAGCAGCGTTAAGAGGGAAATGTATAGCACTAAATGCCCTCATCAGAAAGTGGGAAAGATGTAAAAGGGACACCCTAACATACCAATTAAAGGAACTAGAGAAGCAAGAGCAAACAAATTCAAAAGCTAGCAAAAGACAATAAATAAGATCAGAGCAGAACTGAAGGAGACAGAGACATAGAAACCCCTTCAAAAAAATCAATGAATACAGGAGGTGTTTTTTGAAAAGATTAACAAAATACATTAACTGCTAGCCAGACTAATAAAGACGAAAAGAGAGCAGAATCAAATAGACACAATAAAAAATGATAAAGAGGATATCACCACTGATCCCAGAGAAATACAAACTACCAACAGAGAATACTATAAACACCTCTATGCAAATAAACTAGAAAGTCTAGAAGAAGTGGATAAATCCCTGGCTACATACACTCTCCCAAGATTAACCAAGAAGTAGTTGAATCCCTGAATAGACCAATAACAAGTTCTGAAATTGAGGGAGTAATTAATAGCTTAGCAACCAAATAAAGCCCAGGACCAGACGGATTCACAGCCATATTCTACAAGAGGTACAAAGAGTAGCTGGTACCCTTCCTCTGAAACTATTCCAAACAACAGAAGTAGAGGGACTCCTCACTAACTCATTTTATGAGGCCAGCATCATCCTGATACTGAAACCTGGCAGAGACACAACAAAAAAAGAAAATTTCAGGACAATATCCCTGATGAACATCAATGCAAAAATCCTCAATAAAATACTGGCAAACTGAATCCAGCAGCACATCAAAAAGCTTATTCACCATGATCAAGTTGGCTTCATCCCTGGAATGTAAGGCTGTTTCAACATAAGCAAATCAATAAACGTAATCCATCACATAAACAGAACCAATGACAAAAACCACATGATTATCTCAATAGATGCAGAAAAGGCCTTCAAAAATTTCAACACCCCTTCATGCTAAAAACACTCAATAAACTAGATACTGATGGAACATATCTCAAAATAATAAGAGCTATTTATGACAAACCCACAGCCAGTATTATACAGAATGGGCAAAAGCTGGGAGCATTTCCTTTGAAAACCGGCACAAGACAAGGATGCTCTCTCACACCACTCCTATTCAAAATAATATTGGAAGTTCGGCCAGGGCAATCAGGTAAGAGCAAGAAAAAAAAGGGTATTCAAATAAGAAGAGAGGAAGTCAAGTTATCTGTTTGCAGATGACATTATTGCATATTTAGAAAACCCCACTGTCTCAGCCTAAAAAAATCCTTAAGCTGATAAGCAACTTCAGCAAGGTCTCATGATACAAAATCAATGTGCAAAATCATGAGCGTTCCTATACACCAATAACAGACAAACAGAGAGCCAAATCACAAGCAAACTCCCATTCACAATTGCTACAAAGATAATAAAATACCTAGGAATACAACTTACAAGGGATATGAAGGAACTCTTCAAGAAGAACTACAAACCACTACTCAAGGAAATGAGAGAGGACACAAACAAATGGAAAAACATTCCATGCTCATGAATAGGAAGAATCAATATTGTGAAAATGGCCATACTGCCCAAAGTTATTTATAGATTCAATGCTATCCCCATCAAGCTACTACTGACTTTCTTCACAGAATTAGAAAAAACTACTTTAAATTTTATATGGAACCCAAAAGCCTGTATAGCCAAGATAACCCTAAACACAAAGAACATAAGCTGGAGGTGTCACGTTACCTGATTTCAAACTATACTACAAGGCTACAGTAACCAAAACAGCATAGTACTGGTACCAAAACAGACATATAGACCAATGGAACAGAACAGAGGCCTCAGAAATAACACCACACATCTACAACTATCTGATCTTAGACAAACCTGACAAAAACAAGCAATGGGGAAAGGATTCCCTATTTAATAAATGGTGCTGGGATAACTGGCTAGCCATACGTCGAAGACAGAAATTGGACCCCTGCCTTACACCTTATACAAAAATTAACTCAAAATGGATTAAAGACTTAAGTGTAAGACCTAAAACCATAAAAACCCTAGAAGAAAATCTAGGCAATACCATTCAGGACACAGGCATGGGCAAAGACTTCATGACTAAAACACCAAAAGCAATGGCAACAAAAGCTAAAATTGACAAATGGGATCCAATTAAACTAAAGAGCTTCTGCACAGCAAAAGAAACTATCATCAGAATGAACAGGCAACCTAGAAAATGGGAGAAAATTTTTGCAATCTATCCATCTGACAAAAGTCTAATACCCATCTGACAAAAGTCTAATACCCAGAATTTACAAGGAATTTAAACAAATTTACAAGGAAGAAAAACAAACGACCTCATCCAAAAGTGGGTGAAGGATCTGAATAGGTACTTCTCAGAAGAAGACATTTATGCAGCCAACAAACAGATGAAAAAAAGCTCATTATCACTGGTGATTAGAGAATTGCAAATCAAAACCACAATGAGATACCATCTTATGCAAGTCAGAATGGCAATCATTAAAAAGTCAGGAAAGAACAGATGCTGGAGAGGATGTGGAGAAATAGGAATGCTTTTACACTGTTGGAGGGAGTGTAAATTAGTTCAACCATTGTGGAGGACACTGTGGCGATTCCTCAGGGATCTAGAAATAGAAATACCATTTGACCCAGCAATCCCATTACTGGGTATATACTCAAAGGATTATAAATTATTCTACTATAAAGACACATGCACACGTATGTTTATTGCAGCACTATTTAAATAGCAAAGACTTGGAACCAACCCAAATGCCCACCAATGATAGACTGGATAAAGAAAAAGTGACACATATACACCATGGAATACTATGCAGCCATAAAAAAGAATGAGTTCATGTGTTTTGCAGGGATATGGATGAAGCTGGAAACCATCATTCTCAGCAAACTAATGCAGGAACAGAAAACCAAACACCGCATGTTCTCACTCATAAGTGGGAGTTGAACAATGAAAACACATAGACACAGGGAGGGGAACATCACACACCAGAGCCTGTTGGGGGGTGGGGGTCAAGGGGAGAAATAGCATTAGGACAAATACCTAATGCATGCGGGGCTTAAAACCAAGATGACAGATTCATGGGTGCAGCAAGCCACCATGGCACATGTATACCTATGTAACAAACCTTCACGTTCTGCACATGTATCCCAGAACTTAAAATATAATAAAAATATATAAACAAATACAATAAAAAATAAAATAAAATTCTGCCATTTTCAACAACATGGATGGAATTGGAGGACCTGGTGTTAAGTGAAATAAGCAAGACAAAGGAAGACGAATATCACATCTTCTTGCTATATATGGGAGCTAAAACTGTTGGTCTCTTAAAGGTAGAGAGTAGAGTGGTCATTACCAGAGGTTGGGAAGTGAAGTAGGGGAGGGATGAAGAGACGCTGGTTAATGGGTACAAAAATATGGTTTGAAAGAGGCAATCAGTGCTAGTGTTTGGTAACAGAGTAGGGTACTACAGTTAATAAATTATCGTATATTTTAAATAGCTAGAAGAGAAGATTTGGAATGTTTCCAACACTAATAATAAATGTTTGAAGTAGTGGGTATTCTACTTACCCTAATTTGATCATTACACATTGTATGCATGTATCAAAACATCATATGTACCACATAAATTTGTACAATTATTATTTATTGATTAAAAATGGGCATTAAGACAAAGGTTTACGAAAAAGAACAAAGAAAATAAGGCAGAAAAATCATCAAGGTTCAAAACATCACACAAGACAGGATTTTTCTGACCTCTGTTGAAACCATTCAAAATACCAAGTTGTTATAGTACGTTCTCCTTTGAACAAGTAATGACAAAGTAAGAAGAAGCTACAGTTCTACTTTCTCTTAGCTAGAAAACAAGTGGAGCAAAAATTGGACGTACACAAAGTTAGCCATAAGCAACATGCCATTGTCCGACCTCTGAGACAAGGAAGACATATGCACACAACTGCACACCACCATATGCTTCCCAGATTTTTGCTAAAGAAGAACTTGATTTTTTGTGATACAGAAGACAGCCAGTTCTTTAGGATAGTTGCAGAATGAGAAGGATGTACAGAGACTAAAGTCACAATGAATTGCTGGTAGCAACTGCACATTTGAAAACTGAACATGTTTTGGAATATATATGTTATTTGAAAGCAATTTTGTTCTTTCTCCTTCCCTGTATTTTTAATTCAGGTAATATAATCTCTTCTTGAGCTTCACAATTCTAAACCACACCGCCAAATACCATGTGGTCTTAATAAAAATAAATCTACTTTATGCAGAAAAACAAGAGAAGACTTTTTTAACTTTTAGATTCTTTTTCAATGCATTTCTTTCTTAAATACTTATAGGTATCTAGTACTTAAAAATACATAAGAATATTATGTTAAAGATATTATATATATATATATCAAACATAAGTAGTATATAAATAAAACTTTTAGCTAGTATTTAAAGATTCTTAAATGTTGTCTTTCTTTGAAATGTTCAAATCTAGCCCAAAGCATAGGTGCTCAGAATTTAATTGGCTGGTAAATGGAATAAAAAATAACCTCTTGCACATAGAACCAGTAAGGGCCTGAGCCTCCTCTTTCAAATCAACCAACACACAGATGTCATGATCAATATAAGCCATCAATTTCATTTCTCATGAAATAATTCAATTTTAGATTGATAAGTATTTTTACAAATTACACAATTGGTTTCTCCAAAGAAATTGCCAAGGGACCACCCACCAAGAGGGGAAGAACAGTACTGAATCTCATGAAGCATCTTTGTCTAGACATCTGAAGATTTTCAGAGCAGCACCAATTTTGTCTATTTAAATTCTAGGCTTTGGAGCAAGATATATTCGAAACAGGGATATATTTTTTAAAGAAATTTAGGAAAATTATGAGACAGAAAAGAATGTATGGAGAGAAGATAAGTGATTTGCCTAAGTAAAAAATTTATGATTGATAGAGCTAAACTATGACACTACTCAATATCATTCAGACCACCCACATGGAGCTATCTCTCTGAATTCTTTTTAATAAATTAAGAAAGAAGTCCCTTGAGTATATACAGCCTACTTTCTCCTATATATTACGTTGAACCTGATATATTTTAGCCTATGTTTAAAATAAAAGTTCAAAATTCAGGAATAGATAACCCAGTGGTTAGATTTATATAAATATCAGAAACTCTTAAAAAATAACGTGTTTTAGCAATATACACTTAAGCACCAAACTAAGAAAATAAGGTAGCAAATATCAATTAATCAATAAAGCAATCTTTATTTCTGTATACCTGTGTCCTCTATTACACTAACCTTTGTTTATCATTTTAAATGTACAACTGAAAACAGTATAGTCCGATAAAATAACATTCTGGAACTCAAATATTCTTGTTCTTAAAATTGAAATATCTCAATTTAATAAATTTGTTCAGAGATGTGATTGTCTTTTCAAATATATTTCCTTTATTAGTTTGTTTTTCTAGCACTCTTTTCACATCTTTACAGAACGACAAAATATCATTTCTAAACCCATCCTTTAGATATATTCCACTAGGCTTTTAAAGCAATTTAGAAAAGTGCTGTAACTGCCTAAATTGAGAAGCTTAAAGTAGAAGAACTCAAAGTGATTTACAGTCTAGAATTATTTGCAAAACTTTTAGAGTAAGATCAACTTTTAGAAGGCTGATGCTCAATACATATTTTAAAGTTCTAAAGTATTTTGTCAAACTAAAAAAGTACACTGGCAAACTGGGCAGTCAGTTTACTTAAGCTTGAAAATTCCATTTCACTCAAATTGGATACAGTAGTTAAGTAAAACAATGGGGCTTCTATTTTCTGCTACATATTATTTTTTTAAAAAAAAGTATACAAGAGCTGTCACATGAGCAGCCTGTTTGCCTACTCAGTGCAAAGTTTTATGTTTCTGAAAGGCCACCGCCCACATCTCTTAATGCTGAAAATAAATCAGTTTCATCTGTTGGTTGTTTTATTTCTAGTGTTTTTTTTTTCTTTCTTCCTGCTTCCTTTTAGGCCAGTTTTCACAAAGCCATATGGCAGCTGAGAGAAGCAAAGCAACACGCTGTATTTTCAGTTCTTAACAAAAGGGGCTGTGGTATCACAGCAGCCCATGAATACATGAGGCATGGTCATGTATAGAAGGACCTCCAGCCCTGTCAGTGAAGGCTGCAAGGAAGGGTGATGGAGCTGCTGCTGCTTAAACAAGAGAAATACTGAGTGCTTTCCTTGCACATATCATTGGCATTTGCCTGCCTCCACATTTATTTCATCCCTTCCCAGACAGTTTGATGCCAAAATCCCATTAGCTATATTAATGACATATGGCTGGAGGTAGAAGTATGTGACCAGACAAGAAAAGCACAAATTGAGCATTCTTTCTATTCATTTCTGATATTTCTACTTAAAGACACAAGATTCCCAACAAAGATTGTGTCAGTCATGTTTTTAGAGCTCAGAATGCACTACAGAAAAGAGGGTGTAAAACACAATAACTTGACTTGCACCTACTACTCCAGCTTAACTCCTTTGTTCTCTAGTCAGATAATATTAAAAATTTAAATAACAGATCATATTCTTAGCCTTTGAATCATAAATTTTGATTCAGAGATGTTCACAAATTCCCAATCACACTGACTCTTCAAACATTCATGCACACACACCCATGTGTGCACACACACATACACATCTATCCTTTGTATATTTAGACTAAATCTATGTTTAAATATTAAAGCTGCAAAACTTTGACTGTTATGTTTCAAACCTTTTTAGATGTATGAAACAATCACACATCATAAGATAAACTAGAAAAATTTTTGGTCATCATTTGGAATAACATATCATAATGTATATGAAGACAATGATCAAAAAGTTTCAAAAGGAGTACATAAGTAAATATGCTTTTTCCTCTCACACCATTGCTTATTTGGAATGTTATCTTTACATCGGCAGAGGATTAGCAAGATGGAAAAATGTAGGGTATGCACAATAAGTATCTGTCCTAACATGAAAACTGGAGTGGAAAGGAAGATATAAGGAATAGCTTTTACCCTTTAATTTTTATTCCTTTAAAATCTCTCCCTCCCCACCATGGCTAGACAAATTGGAATGTACAACTGCAACTGCTTCTAATCCTGCCCAGCCTCTGTAAATTCTTTACTCAGTAACTGGATATTAGAATTATTTTTAAAGAAGTAATAAACATTTAGATATTTAGGTCATAAAAAAATGAGTGGTATGAAGGGAGGAGTTAGTGGAGAATTAATTATTTACTATTAGGGAAAATATGACAGACATGGACAGGAGCAATTTGGAAACTTAAGCAAATGATCTCAATCAAATGACTTATGGTAAATGAATCAAGGTGATATTCCACTTCAGATAGTCTTGAGTAGGTAAGTAAGTACACTGTGCCACACCAATACACAATAGTGATTATTCCATCATCCTAAAAGAAATGTGTACACACGTAAGTAAAAATGCTATTATAGCTGAATAGAAATTAGAATGATTAACAAAATATTTGGGACTTCTGATAAAGACAGTACATATTGTGGTCAATTCCTCCCATACATACTAATTATTTAAAAATACTACATCAAATCATTAGACACAACCAAAGTCAGGCAAAAAATTGAGGAAAGTTTATTCGTGAAAAAATATTATTCTATTGGGTAAGGAATGTGAATGTGTGGTGTGGCTGTTTAGTTTGAATGCATTCTCCAACTTGAGATCTAGTGAAGAAAACTCACTGGCTTACCACCTCAAGGTGACAGATGACTAAATTTGGGAAAGGAAAAAGCCATGGAATGGCTAAATCCAAATTTTTAATATAAACTCTGCCCAAATCTCTGGCTATCCAATTACTACACAGGCCCCAGGTAGGCTTCGGGCAGCCTGAAGGTTGATGACAGACATGAGGGAAGATTCTACCCTTGAAAGATACACATGCCCCTGGTGAGATTTGAGAGTCTGAAGTAATTGTGACTATGTTCTCCTCTCTGGACACAGTGTGGGACGTAGAAGGCTAAAACCTACTCTGGTTTAAGGTCAGAGGGCTGAAGTCTGGACTGAGCAGCTGGAAAATTAAATGGGAATTACACAAGATAGAATATTACAGAAAGGGTGAACTCCAAAATCTTAATTCTAAACAACTCCATGGCTGACCTGTAGACTGTGCAAACACAGGGAAGCCACTAAGTAGCCAGGCTAAAAAATGAGCTGCAAGAATGTAAAAAAAATAGAGCAGAGGCATCAGCTATTAAACATTGCAGGTAGACAAAGCTCACATTTTAATTTCAGTCAAGTTAATTGCTCACTAGAATAAAAAATAAACAGTACTCAGAAGAACAAAGAATCCACAAAGAATCCACAGCCAAAAATCCTATGATGTACAGTGTCTCAATTTTAACCAAAAACGAATAGACAGAGAAAAATATGACTCATAGTTTAAGGAGGAAAAAAGCAGCTAACAGAAACTGACTCCAAATGGGTTCAAATATTATATTTAGTGAATAACTTCAAGGAAACTATTATATATATATAGTCAATAATTACAGAAAACTGTTTTTTAAAAAATCAAAGGACAGCATGAAATTAATGAGTGAACAGACACTCTCAACAGAGAAGTGAGAACTATAAAGTGGAAAAATCCAGAGCTTAAAATTGAATAACAAAAATTTACCAGAATATTCAACATCAGATTTAATATGACAGTAGATTCAATTATCTTGAGACAAGATAAAAATACACAAAACCTAAAAAAAGAGAAAAAATATGAATAAAAACACCAGTTCCTCAGATGCCTGTAAAAAGTATCTGACCATTTAATATACACACATGTAATATAGTTTCTAATATAGTATCTAATCATCTAGTATACACATCTAATATGTGTGTAACTGTAGCACTAAAGAAAAAAGAGAAAAAACTGTCAAACAATGGCTGAAATATCATAAACTTGTTGAAAAACATTAATTTACAAATTTGATCTCAATGAGGTCAAAGTAGAACAAACATAAGTCAGCCCAGCAGGACTTCCAGTTTCTGGTTCTGCATAAGGAGCTTGAACATCACCACTCAGTTCTAAAAACAAGCTAAAAGCTGAATAGAATGGAAAATCAACAACCCTCTTTGGAGTCACAAGAAAGGTGAGGACATGGGACAAACCACTGCCCCCAAGATTGGAGAGCCAGATGGGAACAAAGGGAGCCATGGCTTACTCATGCAGAGACTCCAGAACTGAAACCTCTGCAGGAACCAGTGCTAGGGCAAGAAAATCTGAAAGTGTAATTAACTAATTCCTGGAGGCTCAGTGTGGACATGGATGTGAGTTAAAAACTCCAGGGTGACATAGTCATGGAGGGGCCCCATACTTTTGTGAGTCTTACCTTCAGAAACTTGACCAAGGTCTTCAATTAAATATCAGAGGAAAATATTCTCCCACTTCTGGCAGAGGCTGGGGAAACGGAGCCATAGTGAAATGTTTCAGAGCACTCTGTTCTTCTTAACAAGGCCCGTGCTCAGGAGAAACTCGTTAACCAGAACCTAATCTGCTACAGGTGTGGTGGCTCACACCTGTAATCCTAGCACTTTGGGAGGCCAAGATGGGTGGGTTATTTGAGGTCAGGAGTTGGAGACCAGCCTGTCCAACATAGTGAAATCCAATCTCTACTGAAAATACAAAATAGTATTTACAAATACAAAATAGTGGTGCATGCCTGTAGTTCCAGCTACTCGGGAGGCTGAGGCAGGAGAATACTTAAACCCAGGAAGTGGACGTTGCAGTGAGCCAAGATTGCACAATTTGTACTCCAGCCTGGACAACAGAGCGAGACTCTATCACACACACACACACACACAAAAAGTCAACAGCAAGCAAAAACAGATGAGCAATGTGAGCAGAGCAATGAAAATCCTGAGAGAGAATCGAAAGAAATAATAGAGGTAAAAAAACAAAAATAAAATTGTAACAGAAATGAAGACTGCCTTTGATGGGCTTATTAGTAGATTGAACACTGCTGAGGAAAGAATCCCCAAGCTTGAGGATATCTTAATAGAAATCTTTAAAACTCAAATACGAAAAGACTGAAAAAAAAATAGAAGAGAATATCCAAGAACTGTGGACAACTACAACAGGAGTAACATACATGTAATGGAAATTCCAGAAGGGAAAGAAAGAGACAAAAGAACAGAAAAAAATATTTGAAACAATAATGATTGAGAATTTTTCCAAATCAATGACAAACATCAATCCACAGATCCAGCAAGCTCAGAGAACACCAAGCAGGATAAATGCCAAAACAAAACAAAAACTGCCCAGGCATATCATTTCCAAGCTACAGAAAATCGAGGGTACAATAATAATAATAATAATAATGATATCTAAAAGGAGTCAGAGGAAAAAATTGTTATCTATGAGGAACAAAGATACAAACCATATGTAACTTGTCAGAAACCATCCAAGAAGAGGGTAGAGTGAAATATTTAAAGTGTTGATATGGTCTGAATGTGTCCACCAAATTTCATGTTGGAAATTGAGCATCAGTGTGATAGTATTAACAGGTGAGGCCTTTAAGAGGTGGTTAAGTCATGGGGGCCCCTGCCTTATGAATGAGTTAGGGCCTTTATAAAAGAGGTTCCAAAGCTTTTAGTTTCCTTTTGGCCTTTTGTTCTTCCACTTCTCCCTGCCATATAAGGACTCAACATCTGCTCCTTCTGCCATATGAGGATGCATGGGGAATTTCTCACCACATGTGGAATGCTAGCACCTTGATATTTGATTTCCTAGACTCCTAAACTGTAAGAAACTTCTCTTCTTTATAAATTACCCTGTCTCTGGTATTTTGTTATAACAACACAAATAGACTGAGACAAGTGTTGAGAGGGAAAAAACAAAACAAAAAAACCCAGGCTATAATTCTGTACCCTGAGAAATTGTCCTTCAAAACTGAAGGAGAAATAAAGCCTTGCTCAGACAGACAAAAAGTGAGGGAATTTGTTGCCAGTAAATCCGCCTCAGAAGAAATGTTAAAAGTTATTTAGAGGGCCAGGCGCGTGGCTCACGCCTGTAATCCCAGCACTTCGGGAGGCGGAGACAGGCGGATCACGAGGTCAAGAGATCGAGACCATCCTGGCTAACACGGTGAAACCCCATCTCTACTAAAAATACAAAAAATTAGCTGGGCGTGGTGGCAGGTGCCTGTAGTTCCAGCTACTCAAGAGGCTGAGGCAGGAGAATGGCGTGAACCCGGGGGGCCGTGGGGGACGGGGCTTTCAGTGAGCCTAGTTCCCGCCACTGCACTCCAGCCTGGGCGAGAGAGAGAGACTCCGTCTTAAAAAAAAAAAAAAAAAAAAAGTTCTTTAGCAAAGGGAAAAACATCAGAAACTCAGATCTACATTAAAAAAAGGAAGAGCATCCAAAAAGGAATAAGTGAAGATAAAATAGAATTCTTTCTTTTGCTTAGTTGATCTAAGAGATAATAGTCTATTCAAAATAATAATAGCAACAATGTATTCAATTATGTATGCTGTTATTTCATATATATGTTTATTTATACTTCTATATAAGTGAAATGAATGACAGCAATGTCGTTCATAATAAGTGAAATGAGTGAAATGAATGACAGCAATATAAGAGAAAGGAGGGAGGAATCAGGATTATCTTATTATTTTAAGGTACTCATGCTACCTGTGAAGTGGTACAGTGTTACCTGAAAGTGGTCTTAGATTAGTTGTAAATGTCTACTGTAGACTCTAGGGCAGCCACTAAAAAAAGTAAAAAATTATATACCTAGGTGACACGCTGAGAAAGGAGAGAAAAGAAAATCATATAAAATGCCCAATTAAAACCGTAAAAGGCACGAAAGGAGTAGAAGACAAAAATAACAAAGAACAAGGATAACAAATAGAAAACTGTAATAAATATGGTAGATATTAATCCCATTACATCAATAATCACATTGAATGTCAATGGTCTAAATATATCAATGAAAAGACAAAGGTTGTCAGAATGTATTAAAAAACAAGACACAAATCTGTTGTATACAAGAAATCCACTTTCAATATAAACACATACATAGCTTAAAAGTAAGTGAATGTAGAGAATATTACATAAACTCAATTGATAAAGCAGTGGCAGAGTCTGAGATGATCGACTCCAATTTTGAAAGTTCTGTAGGTAAAATGCTATCAAACAGCATTGAATGCTACAGAGAAATCTTTCGTGGAAGGAAGGGCCAATCGTTATAGCAAACTTCATTGTTTAACAAATTGCCACAGCTACCCAACCTTCTGCAGTCAGTACCCTATTAGCAGCAGCCATCAACATCGATGCAAGGCCTTCTACTAGCAAAAAGACTATGACTCTGCAAAGGCAGAGAACTGCCTTAGAGCTTGTTAGCAACAACGTATTCTTTACCTAAAGTATGTAGATTATTGTTTAGACATAATGCTATTGCACACTTAATAGACTACAGCATAGTGTAAACTTTACTTTTATGTGCACTGGGAAACCAAAAAATTCTTGTGATTTTCTTTACTGCAATATTCACTTTATTGTGGTGGTCTAGAGCTAAACCTTGCAATATCTCTGAAGTATGCCTGTACTTTAAATCATCTCTAGATTGCTTATGTCTAATATAGTCTAAGTGCTATATAAATAATTTTTATACTGCATTGATTTTTAAATTTGAATTATTATTACATTGTTATTTCTTCTTTTTTTCAAATATTTTTCATCTGTGGTTGGTAGGTTGTATGTGTGGAACACATGGCTACCAAGGACCAACTGCATTGACTTTAGTTAATAATAATGTATCAATATTAAAATATTGTAATAAATGTACCATAGTAATTTAATATCTTAAGGGAAACTGGGGAGAGGAGAGTATATGTGAGCTCTCTATATTCTCTTTGCAATATATACATATATATATAAGGTGATATATATATAAAATATATATATGTCACAGCATAGTCAGACTGCATAAAGCCAAATGAGAAAAGGAAATCTTGAAAACAGCAAGAGAAAACTAACATTTTATATAATTATATTAGCAATGCAATTAATAGCTAACTTCTCAGCAGAAGCAATGAATACTTAAAAGATAATTCAAGTAATATATTACGATATGTTTTAAAAGTCAATTAAAAATGCCATATCACTGAAACTATCCTTCAAAATGAAAATATGTATTTTTAGGTAGTCCAAATCTGAAAGGAAGTGTTGATATCGTACAACAAAAAAATGTTTAAGAATATCTACAAGATACAAAAATGACACCAGAGTGTAACTCAGATAAAAAGGAAGGAATGCAAACATTGGAAATTGTAAATATGTGAATGTATGTATAAGAAAAAAATGTTTATATACACACGTAATGGCTTAAATGAGCAAATGCATTGTTACTTTAGTCTTCAAAGTTTATTATGGTTATCCCCTAATATTACTCCTAAGTACTCTATCAATATCAAAAATTATGTCACAAATATGTATTATAAATTCTTGCTAAATATTTCTAGCTTACATTATGTATTGTAGGTCCTCAGGCTAGGTTCAGAATTCCTAGTATATGGTCACATGGGCTTTCAATACGTTTTTCAGGACATAACCATGGCTGCCCATCCAGTGTCCATTTTTTTCTTTTTCCTTGCTGTTAAGGCTTTGATACTCCTGAATGTGGAATTGTACCCCATTAAAACCATGTGACTCAATTTTGGCCAAAGTGAGGTAAAAATAATGCTGCAAATCAGGACTTTTGCAAAAGGTATTGCTTTACCAATCAGAAGAACATGCTTATGCTTGTTTCCTCTCCGTTTAAGCAGATACTATTGTGGCACTCATATTTCTAGCATGATTCAAAATGCTTTATACTTATAAACAAATGTAATTCTTACAAATGACTCATGAGATAGTTACCATTATTAACCACTATTTAGTAATTTTGAAATTGAAACAGAGAGATCCTGGTAACTTATGCAACCTTAGCCCTTTGGCTGCATCCTCCCTCCTATGTGGAATAAGATGCAATATGTGCAGATGGAACAGCCATTATGTGAATATGAGCAGAAAATCCACATGCTTAAGACGGCAAAGCAGAAAGAGGAAACACTCTGGATTGTTACTGTTGTTCTGGTTCTCTATACCATGGACATCACCCTGGATTTGATATTTGCTCAGAAGTCATTTCTTAATTTTAGCATCTCTTTTTCTATATCTAAATAAGCAGGAAATGAGAAAGTATTTTTTTTAATTCAGTAAATACTAGTTCATGTGTACCTAACAATCTGTTTAGCATAACTTGTTCCTTTCTTATTTTACTATAGACAGGAAGAAGCAAGCAGCATCTTCAAAACTTCCCTGGGAAACATCTGAGATAAGTGGTGGTCTAGATCATTAAACAGATATCCTATTTTTCATGTTACTACAAGTGACAAAGTTTCTAAACTTTCTAATACCACATAACAAGTGTACCCTTTCCTCCGGCCACCAGTATCTACTTTTCTCAAATCTCTCATTGATAGTTTTTTTGAGAGCCATCGGGCTTCATTAATAATCTCTTACTTTTTGGCTTTTATTACCTCTTCTTTCAAGATTTGTCAAGCTTCCTTTTGTCCGCTTGCCACTTGTTTGCAAAGCCATACACACAAATACATAAAATTAAATGTTTTATATAAAACACATAAAATTAAATGTTTTTTATATATGTTAAATATATATATTTGCCAGAATCCCACTTACAGATATCAAAGTCTGCTCAAACAAACCCAAAACTTAGTGACTTGAATGACAACATTAATTTTACTCACAAATCTGCAGTTTGGCCAGGGTTCATCAGAGAGAGTTCATTTCTGCTTCACTCAGTGTCAGTCAGGGAAATTTGAAAACAGTGTTAGAATCACTTGAAAACTCATTCGGGAAAATAATAGAGGTTGATGGTAACTATTGGCTGAGTCTTCAGCTTGTTCTGGGGTTGGGGCTGGAAATCCTACACATGGCCAATCCATGTGGCTGCTTGGATTCTGTACCGAAGGACAGCTGTTTTCTAAGATCAAGCCTCCTAAAAGGATCAGACAAAAGCTTTCTTTCCTTTATAATTTAGACATGGAAGTTACATAGTGTTACTTTTGTAATAGTTGAACCCCACCTTATTCAAGAGGAAACAGCATAAGCTCTACCTCTCAATTATGGAAAGAACATTTAAGATAGAATATATTGGTATATCCATCTTTGGAAATTAGAATCTGTCACAACAAAACTTTTTTAATATGAGAAAACAAATCCCTAGTTGATTAAGCCATTACAGTCAAACTCATAACATGCATATATTTTGTTATGGATATATATGTTTTGGTTTTCATGTTTAATGTCTCCCCTACTAGACTGTAAATCTCACAAGGGCAGAAATTATTTCCATTGTAGGCCGGGCTCAGTGGCTCACACCTATAATCCCAGCACTTTGGCAGGCCGAGGCTGGCAGATCACTTGAGGCCAGGAGTTCAAGACCAGCCTGACCAATATGGTGAAACTGCTTCTCTACTAAAAATACAAAAAATTAGCCGGGCATGGTGGTGCATGCCTGTAATCCCAGTTACTCAGGAGGCTGAGGCAGGGGAATTGTTTCAACCCAGGAGGTGAAAGTTGCAGTGAGCAGAGATCGAGCCACCGCACTCCAGCCTGGGTGATAGAGCAAGACACTGTCTCAAAAAAAAATAATAATAAAAGAAAGAAAGAATTTCCTTCTTGTTCACATTGGCTCTTAATAAAAAGTTTTGTAAATGAATACATGGATAAACACTGAGGCAAAACAAAGGCTGAGAGCTTTGGGAGTTAAAGTTCTTTGACCACGGTCAACTATGAAGCTCCATGTTGTGTTACATTCTGACGCACAGTTGCCTTGGCACACAGCCTCATGGATCTGATTTGCTTCTGAGGCTTAAAGGTGGCTTGGTTTATAAATTGCTCAGGAATTATAAGTAAGTGTGTGTTTGTGCGTGTGTGTGTGTGTATGTTTGTGTCGAGGAACAAAAGCAAAGACTATAAAAACAGAGAGCAACCAACAAAATGAATTCAGTTCCTTGGCAATAACTTTCTAAGACATTTTATTGGTAACCTCAATCTGCTCTACAATTTCCTAATGAAACAAATTTTATGTAACCCTGAACTTGTGCACCAAGACGAAATGAAAGAGGTAAGAATGGTTTTAAGTCATAAAACATAAAACATAAAAATGTTTTAATTTTTCATGAGAGACCAGGAATAGCAAGGTCGTGTGAGAATATCTAAAATAATCTATCCTGAAAGCATAAGAAACCCCAAAACATAGCAGTAATGTCATTAGTCATATTATGTTCAGTAGAAATAAGACAAACTGTTGCTACTATTGTTAGATGTATTGTTTAAAGTAGTATTGCCAGAATGTCATACATTGGATTGCATAATATTTACACTCACATTTCTTCCAAAGCATACATTCAATAATTTTTTTAAAGTGTCTCAGAGAAAAAAAATGAAACATTTTTTCACCTATGACACGTGCAATTACTTCACCGTCTAAGGAATGCATGTTGTAAATACTGGATTTATAGCAACACCTCAGATAATTACACAGTTTACGGGGTACTAAGCAGGAAAAGAATTGCTGACTGTCCACACAATGTCCTCTTTTATTCACTACTAGTCTCAGAAGAATGTGACCATATAGGTTAACTATGTTTATGTTGTTCTCAAGGAGAAGAGAGTTAAAAGGCAATATTCTTTTTAACAAGCTGAACCAACTTGTTGGAAAGAAATAAAACCTTATAAAAATTGGAACAAATATCTTCAAACCAATATGTTATTTGAAACACTATTTTACATGGTACATTCATTTTTGTCTCACCCTCACATAACTCTGCAAATAGCTATTCAATTCAAACTGTCTCAAGGGTAAAAGTATAAAGCTCAATGTTTCTGTTGGATTTAGTGGAGCTCATAGAGCGTCTGGATTTGTTGGTCATGGCATTCCCTCTTAAACCCTCAAGTGTCTGTTTGAGCCAGTTTATACCAGAACAATTCAACAATTCAGGGTTTCCTTTTGTGTGTAGAAACATGTGTTTACACGGCTTCAGTCTGAATGAATAAGAACATGTTATTATTTACTGAAAAAAAATGACAAGATGATATATAGCTTTTGTACCTAGTAATCTTTATTCTACTCATATATTTTAATACTTTAATAAGTTGTAGGATATGGCCTAAATCTCTTTGCTTTAAACTACTTCTAAAAGTAAATACTCATTCAGAAAACATATTTCAAGAGCAATATTTTCACATTTTTTAAAAACACAATTTGTTATTTATACCTAAAGTTTAGTCCTATAGTTAATACTTTGTTGTCCACTTAAATTTGTTAAGAGAATAGATCTCATGTCAAGTGTTCTTACTGCACATACCTACACACAACAGAGCAAAGGGTTACAAAGAAAATTTTGTGGTAATAGTTTTACCTAGATTGTGGTGATGGTATTGTGGGTGTATGTGTGTGAACAAATGCATCAAATTGTATACATTAAATATGTGCAGGTTTTTATATTGATTATACCTTAATAAACCTATAAAAAACATAATGGCAAGGCCAAGTGTGGTGGCTCACACTTGTAATCCCAGCACTTTGGGAGGCCGAGGTGGGCAGATCACCTGAGGTCAGGAGTTCAAGACCAGCCTGGCCAACACGGTGAAACACCATCTCTACTAAAAATATTTTAAAATTAGCCAGGTGTGGTGGTGGGCTTCTGTAATCCTAGCTACTTGGGAAACTGAGGCAGAAGAATTGCTTGAACCCAGGAGGTCGCAGTGAGCTGAGATCATGCCATTGCACTCCAGCCTGTACAACAAGAGCGAAACTCCTTCTCTCAAAAAAAAAAGTAAAGGCAAATTCATCATTAGGAATATTAGCATTGTTACATCTGCTTGTGTATAGAATTTTGTAAAACTCAAATCGAGAGAAAACAGATCATAAGATAATAACCAATTAGAGAGACTTCTCTTTACTCAAAGTTTGTGCTACAACGACTATACGTATATAAAGAAAAGAATGGAATATCAACCAATAGAATAAGTTTAAAAGGAGAAAGATATGGTGGAATAATTCTCTGTTGCCTCATCTGATGTTGACTGCTCCTTTCCCTATTTTGTAAATTCAGGGTTTGACTTCTTAAAGTTGATGTATTTAAGAGAAAGGACACAAGAAAGAAAATGGGAAAGGAATGGAAGGTACTTACTTCACTTACACTTCTACTGTTTCAGCATTACTAATTTCTGGATGTGAAAGTCCTCTAAGTAAATTACTCATTAGCAAATCAGCAGCACATTATTACATTCTTGAGTAGAAATATTTTGTGCAATCTAAATACAGAAATAAAAGTGGTATTAAAAATACTGCATATGAGACAGATAAATTCCTCTTCACTGTAGGGTACTACAAGGACCATGCTTACATAAACAGAATAACATAATTGAGATGAAACAATTCTATTCCTAAAAAGTTTTCATGAGTTCTTTGGAAATTAGCTAACTCTGAGGATATCTGGCCTGCAGTTTCCTCATGCTGGATGCAATAACTTCCCTGATTGGTCATTTGCAACTCCTTGCTTATCCTTTAGTATCTGGAAATTTGATCAATTATTTGGCCTGAGATAGTCTCCCCCATTCAGGTGGTTTCCAATGATAAAATCAAAGATGACTCTTTTATGGTTATGCTTCATAAGTGAATTCATTTGGGGTATCATATACTCACACATTTTTTCTGCAATAAAATCTTGGAGCATGTGCTGAATTCCTATGCAAGATTACTTCTCCCTTCTTATCTGTGTGGCCTCAGTTCTGGTCCTAGATAAAGTCCTAGGAGACATATTTCAAACTCTCCTCTTGATCCATTTGAAGCCCTCCTCTATATGAAGTGAAAGGCAGGGACCTGTCCACCGCAACCTCTTATAGTTGGGGTGGGGTGAAGAAATGGGATTCAGGCCACAGCAAGAGTTCTCTATTCAAAAAAATTTTTTTTCCCATTCAGCAAGCCTTCTCTCTGCCTCAAAATCTCTTTCCTAGGCTGCTAAAGAAAAAAAAAAACTATTCAGCTCAGTATTGTCTAGAAACTTCAGCTGAAACAAAGTAAAAGGATTGTATTTATAATCTTCTTGCATAGTTATAATCACATTCTTTGAATTAAGGTAGGAGTTCTAGATAATCCACTGAAGGAAAGTGACTTGTGCAAAATAAGAGAACATGAGATCATATTGCTACCCTGACAGCAATAGAGGTGGGGAAGAGAAATTACCTGCAAAATGCATGGAAAGAATGTGTTATTGAGAACATGTTTTGGAAAAAGAGGTCAAGAGAACAAGATGATTGGGAACATTAGCACTGTTACATCTACAATGCTGTTACCCACATTACTTTGGGGAGTTTGCTGTGTCTTCAGCATACAACTGCTTTTATCTGTAAATGGAATGAGTTTTAACATTCATTGACAGGGAAACTAACAGTTCTTGAAATTTTATATGACAAATCCTGTGATAGGCATGTCCAAATAGATAATTATATCCCAACAGCCCTAAAGGCTATAGTAAATAATTTTCCCATTTTATAAACAAGTAAATTGCCACATGAAAAGCTAAGTTTTACTCTCAGAATAACTTATTGAGTAACATGGCACTGTTTTTGTTCAAAGCTTATTGTTCTAGAAAGTTGTCTCTTCATGGACTAGGAAGTTTTTATTTACTTTTACTACAGTTTTAGAAATTTAGAATGAGTCATTTGATCTAAGTATGTCCTATTGAACATTATATATTTCCTCTAAGGTCCATATTACATGTCTATTTCAGCTATGATCTTGTTAATATGCATATATTTAGAATTTTTAGCCCTAAATGGTGAATCAGTTTTAAAGTTTGCTTAACCAGTAATGTTATAGGACTACCAAGTTCATATGCCCACTATGTAGTAACATACCACTACACCGAGACAGAAGGGTTTGCAGCAGAGGAGGAGTTTAATGACACACAGCGGCCATGTGAGGAGATGGAAAAGACCATAAAATCAGTCTTCCCAAGGAGTTCTGGGCTGGGGATTTTAAGGAAATAATGGAGGGCGAGGTGCTAGAAAAATGGGGTTGTTGATTGGTCAGGATAAGGGAAATGAACTCATCAGGATGTGGAAACTGCGTTAGTTGCTAAGTCAGCTCCTCCTGGGGTCCTTCATACCAGCTGACATCAGTAGTTTCATTGGTATCCAGAACCTGAAGGAATATCTCAAAGGGAAAACAACATTTTACAATGTCTACATTGTTATATACAGAGCAGTTAAGGGGAACCATAATCCTGTGATAGGGTCTGAGTGATTCTGGGGCAACAGGCACCAAACAGCTATGAGGAAGAGGGTCAGAGAGCAAGCTGCTTAGTGATTAAGGCTGAACATGCTGCAAGCTTGGTTTATTTTCATTTCTCCCCCTCCCTTCTTCCCGGGTTAATTTTAAAATTTATGGGGATAGTTTCAGTAACTCAGGGAAAGTAAAAAGAAGACAAGAATCTGGAGCACAATATTGCTAGATTGTATATTTTGGGTTAACCCAGAATAATTGTGTCAAAAATGTTCTAGTTTGGCCTGGAGAAGTTATCAGTTGCCACTATAATCAGAAAGAGCATGGGAGCCAGCTGCTGGAATGAAAGGATGGAAGAAAAGAGTGAGGAGACAAGTTTCCTGTATCACTAGGCTTTGTGATCAACTTTGGGTGCTCAGCAATCTTTTGTTAGTTTGAAAAACCTTCAATTTAAGAAACTACTAATTGCTTTTTGTTGTTTTGATTTTGCTTAATTGACGTCTTTAGTAGTAAGCAGCAGACAGAATTTAGCAAGATGATTAGACTGAATTTGCAATTCATGTACACAAAATATGTAATTTCTGATTCATTTTCCCACTGTCATAAAAACTATACTTTTAATGTGCAACTGTGGATATGAATTTTAGTTTTTATTTCTCACAATGTTTTGGTTGGCTGTAGTGTGTAAATGACACACTTCCTCATTTATAGTCAAATGCTGTCTTTGGTTCCCAAATCCTTTTCTTGCCTACAGCAACTTCACCTGAATATACTTCCTTAAAATGTAAATAATTTTGTTAAGAAATAAATCCTTAAATTTGAGGTAAACTACAGTGACTTTTAGGTTAGTGACTGATCCTCAGCAGTTGTTTCAGATTGATGCTTAATCAATTTAGTGTTTTTAACAAAACATCAATTTTTAAAATTAGCTCCTCAAGATACAGCTTTCATGGAAGAGAATAGCCTAAATGCCTGTCTTCCTTTAATTGTTTGGTTAGCCAGGGAAGAAGGAGGTACTACCATGAAGCGACATGCAAGTGAAGTTCATTGCCATGGTTAGTAATGTTTTCTGAGTGGTTAGTAATCACTGTTTTCTGAGGGCTATCTAGGGAAAAAATGAGATGGTGAAATTCACAGTGGTTTAAGTTTCTGTTAAAAAAAAAAAAAAACAAACTTTCTTTCAATGTATTTCCCTTCTATGCCCTAATTTCATAGACCATGGTCAAAATTACAAGTTTGGCATCTCGAGTTTCTGGGGCTATAACAATTTTTCCCAGCTAGTAGCAGATTCATTTCTGCTAAAATTCTATTACTCTAAGCTATTTCTCTCAAGGATTGTAACAATTCTTCTGAAAACAGATCAGCAGCTTTCAGTATAATCTGACTTCATCTAACTGGAACAAGGTCCACTTCTGGTAAATCCTGCAACTGAATGTGACAGGAATAGAAAACTCTATTTCAGTGCCTTGCAGGGTGTGATGAAAGGCATTTGGAAAGTGATTTGGATTATTTTTATTGTTTTTTTAGACCTAGGCTTAGTATTAGCTTTTGTTCTGTTTTATTTTCAACAATGATTTAGAATGACAGCATTTATATTTTAAGTAGAAACAAATTAAAAGACAGCTCTCTTTCAGGTGTTTGCTAAGCATACAAGTAAACAAAGGTTTTTTTAGAAACATTTTAATATTATATCATCCAAATAAAATAAGTTCTGAAATAAATGCTGAATTCTACACTCATCTATGTTTATTCACAAATGTTTATAAACACACATGTACATATTTACAGCCTAGTACTGCAGATACTAAAACGAAAAAGAAAAAAAAATCACCTTTGTCTTAACATATAAGGAGAACAGAAAAGAAGCAAAGAGAAAGAGGTTAGCAAAGAGGAAAGAAAGCAAGCAAGAGAGAACTAAAATCATTTGAACTATATTTCTTTTAATAGTCTACAATCACTTGAGATCATTTAAAGCTTCATTTGGTCAAGAAAGTTATTTACTGCAAAATATTTTAATGACATAAAAATAACCAATTAGATATGTGTAGAAAAAATATTAAACAATATAGGAACAATTAAATACAAGAGTCATAAAACAATATTCAAGGAAGAGAAGGAATTATTGGAAGCTATGAAAGTTGTTTGTTTTATACTGTTTGTTCAAGAACAGATCATCTGGAATTAAGACAAAGATTTTGGAGGATATTCCTGACAGAAAAAACAGCTTGCTTAATATGGGGTCCTGTGTAATCTCACACGCTGTGGAAACAGAGTTGGAAACCAGACTAGGAACAGAAAACAATATAGGGCTCCCTATTAGAACCGTCAACCAACTTATACAGAAGATGGCCCAGAACCAAGAGCTCATAAAATAAGAGAGCAGAGAGAAATGGAAGATTCAACAATCTCCATATAAGAAATCAACATGGCATTTCAGAGAAGATGTGAAGTAAGAAATCAGAGGAAGACATTTACCCCCCTTTAGGTAAGGAAAAAAGACAATAGCCAACATACAAAAGTCAAGGAATATATAGACAGTTTTACCAAGTCAAAACAGAGAACTAGGCAAATGCAAAAAATTCAGAAATACACAAATAGCAGATGTCAAAACAAGGTAGTCTGGGCACAGTGGCTCACGTCTATAATCCCAGCACTTTGGGGAGACGAGGTAGGTGGATCATCTGAGGTCAGAAGTTCAAGACTAGCCTGGCCAACATGGTGAAACCCCCACTCTACTAAAAATACAAAAATTAGCCAGGCATGGTGGTGGGCGCCTGTAATCCCAGCTACTTGGGAGGATGAGGAAGGAGAATCGCTAGAACCTGGGAGGCGGAGATTGCAGTGAGCCAAGATCACACCACTGCACAGGTGACAGAATGAGACTCTGTCTCAAAAAAAAAAAAAAAAAAAAGGAAAAAAGAAACAAGGTAGATATATCTATATATCAAGTAATCATAGTAGGTGACCAATGAACTGGGCTCAGTTTGACTTTGAATTTCAAATAACTTTCGTCTCAAAAGTATGCTTCCTGTTGGGGTAAGAGAGAATCTCTGGGTAAGGAATGGTCAATGCTGATAAAATAAAAAATGCACATTATGCAGATTAGTAAGTGGGCATCACTTGGGGTACTGAAAAATGAGAGCTCATTTAGATGTCAGCAGAAGTTAATAGAAGAAAGGTAAATGAAAATATAAAAAGGAATTGTTGGTTGAGCAGAAGAATCAACTAAACTAAGTACCTTCTGGTATAAAAAGATTCTAAAATGTATAATTACACAAACATAATACAAGTTTGTTTCTTTTTCATGTCAATAGTAATGGGTGATACCACCCTCCATGCACTTATTCAGGACCTTAAGTTAACAGAAGTTCTGTGATTTTTTAACACATGGCTGTAAGTGGGTTTATCTTCATTCCAAAGGGTAGAAAAGCATTCTGTACTCTAGCAGTCAAGAATATGCTACTCTCAAATCTCTGACTATGGGGAGTAAAATTGACTATGGTCTCAGCTGCTGTGCTTTGAAAATCAACACTGCAATTATGCCACACTTCCCACAGGCTGCTCCCAACTGGTGACTGGGCATGTCAAGAATAATGTTACCAAAATGCCAAGGGTTTGGTCTAGGTCCTGTGGCTCATCACACATAAAGCCAATCAAAGAGACAATGAGTATTGCCACGGAAGAAGGCTTTATTTGGATGCTGTAGCCAAGGAGTTGAGAGGTAAGTCTCAATTCTATCTCCCCCACTGACTTAAATTAGGGGTTCATATAGCAGTGAAGAAATCTAACGATATGTGGAAAAATAGGAATTAGGGAGAGGTAAGGAAGCGGAGTTGGTCAACAGGCAGCAAATGGTCAGTGAGGCAGTCATAATGGACGAGGGGTCTGGTGTTTCATTGTCCAGATGTAGTGATCTGGTAAATTTCAGTTCCTTGGTACTATCTGGGAGGCCTGATGATCAATTTCCTGAGAAAGGAACTTTGATAAGGCAAATGCAATTTTCTCAAGTTTTAAGACTGGGAGAGTCCATTTCTATGTTTATAAAAAAAATCATAGACATAAATTCTATGAGGAAATTTGACTGGTTTCACTAACGCAAGACTACTACTCCTAGGGACAAGCACTCCTGTAATGTGCATCTTTGGCTTGAGAACCCCCAGTCTGCTTCAGTGAAACTTTCTTAGAATTGCACTATAGTCTAAGACTTTTCTATACAATTTTCCTTCCTCCAACATCTCCTCCATAGGAGTCAGACCTACATCAAGTTCTGAGCAGTTTCCCAACCTCTTCTGACTCTTCATATTCCTTCCGATGATTTTCCCCAATAAATCACTTACATGTCTAAACCTGTCTGCTATCTGCTTCTCAGAGGACCCAAACGAATGCAAGGAGTGCCAGAAAACAGGCGGTAAAATAGGGTCTGGTAATAGGTCACTCACTAATTGGCAGGCAAAGAGGATGTCATCCTGAAGAATATGGGAAACATAGTCCCTGCCACATTGTGCAGAGAAATGGCTTTACAGATTTAATGATTCCAGCAATTCAAAAATATTATGGCAATAATGCTTAAAAGGCATCAGAGCTTATTACTGCAATTTTGAATAAAAATGCTCAAGCTGCTGTGACTCATAGTGGAGGAGGAATAAAAAGGCCAAGTACAGTGGGAATGCTGAAATGAATATATCATATTAGGCCAAATAATACCACCATGTTATATTCCATGTGAGATTCCAAAACACATACCATTTTCCAAGGCCATCAGGAATGTGCTGGTGAGAGGATTACACAAAAATTACACAAAAAGTACAGTTGTGGCCCTCCTCTGCAGTCACAGAGCTTTCTCTTTAACATCCATGATAATGATGTGCCAAGACGTAACAGGAGTCAGATGGCAGTGTTTAGCTGCCAGAAACCAGAAGCCCCAAATTACTGTATGCACATCAACATTTAAGGAGCAGCCAAAAATTGCTGACTGATAGTGTGTTTGAAGATGGCTCCTAGGCAATGGCATCTCTATGGGAAAATAGACACCTAGTCAATAAAGATGCTGCTTAAAATTTACAACCAGAAAAAGGCAAGAGTGAAGACACAGGAGGTTGACGGCAGTTGTCCCAGTAAGAAGTCAGCATTATTTGACCAGTTCTCAAAGTAAAGAAGTGGTCAGGTGTCTGGAAGAAAGGTCCCGCCACACTATGGCAAATGTATATTGTAATCATTACTCTAGTTCTTTTCTAGAGGGACCTAAGACCACTTATTCTGATGAGTATAGTGAAAAGGAAAATACTCAAATGTTTTGCAGAGCCCTGGGTCTAGTCTACATTGATACCCAGAGACCTAAATTGGCATTAAATTTCCCTGTTACAGCAGGAGATATTTAGTAGGTAGAATGATCCCCACACGCAGCTGCTGGGATGTGGAGTAAGAATCTATTCTTATTGGAATCATTCCACCAGCTAAGTAGACAAATGACTAGGCCAGCAGCCTTTAACGAGTCTTTATCATTGGCCACCCCATGATGGCCAATGATAAAGGCATCAGAGCTTATTACTGCAATTTTTGCAGGCACCCCACTAGCATGATGGACACATTAACAGAATAACATCTGTGTTCAAGACAAGGGACTGTCTTAATCCAATATCATTGTCTCCCACTTTCCAATCCCTGTTCACTATTTCCTCTGAAAGTCCAATGTGTCAGCAATAGAGCCCAGTGTTATGTACCCAATAGCAGGCAAGGCTAAGTAGAAAGCTCTGTTACCATCTTCCTTAGCAGCCAAAATTTAAATCAAAAACAGTATTTTATCCAGGGATGAGGGATGATGGAGATTAGTGTTACCATTAAAGGAGCAAAGGATGCAGAGTAGTAGTCTTTAGCCTGTCTTTGTTTAATTCACCACTCTGTCTCTTGTAGGTGGATTCTGTAAAATATATGTAGATTGTAACTGGATTAACCAAGCCCCAATCCCAAGCACTGTGATGTACGTTGTATCACTGCTAGAGTAGAATAATAAGACATCAAGTACATGCTATTGAGCATAAATAAATCATTAATTAAATAGTTATTTTTATTCCAGCCAGAAAAGAACAGAAACAGTTTTTATTCACTTAGATACAACAATATTTATTTACAATTTCTCCTGAAGACTATGCTAATTTTCATGTCCTTGAAAGAGAATGGGAGGAAATATTGCTAATGGGCAGAGATGTGATTTGTGTACTGGGTCATCCAGCTAGCATGGAGAAAAAGTGACCCAAGTAGAAATTAAAGGTCAGTGACAAATGGCCTGGGCATCTGGTCAGGGGCATAGAAGAGAAAGGACAGGAAAATCAGAGACAAGCAGGTCTGGGTTAAAGACTTGTGAAGGCATATATGGAATGGGCATGAAAAGTGAAAACTTGTGTATCACATAATGATAGCCACAACAAATCCACCATGAAGTAAGCACTGAACAACTAAGTAGACAAATGAGTAGGCCAGTAGCCTTTAGCCAGTCTTCATCATTGGCCACCCTAGAGCTAGCATGATGGACACATTAACAGAATAACTGTGTTCAGGACAAGGCCTGTCTGAGTCCAATAGCATAATCTCCCACTTTCCAATCCCTATCCACTATTGCTTCTGAAAGCCCAATATGTCAGCAATAGAGACCAATGCTAAAGTAACCAATATGGCATTAATCCTCACGTAATAGCCAATTACATTGAGCCACTTCCATTCTGGAAGAGTTAGTAGTTGTTTCTCACAAGGACAGCTACTTATTTTGTGTATCAGTTTGCCTCTTTTTCCTACAGATCCTCCGCATAATATCAACACAGCATAATATCCAACCAGAGGCCTCATTTGATAATATAAGAGGTATGGGAATAATACCATAGCCACGTGATCTACTGGTCATATAGCAGCTCAAAGGCAACACTGTGAAAACATCCTTCAGGATACAGCATATGCATTGAGAGGGTACTAATCACCGATAGGAAAAATGCATGGGTCCAGAACTTAGTAGTAGAAACAGGAGTAGCACAATTACCATCTGTGATGATTTAATTTTCTATGTCAAATGGGCTGAGTCACGGTGTCCAGATATTTGGTGAACATTGTTATGTATGTTTCTTTTTTAATAAGATTAACATTTAAATATTGGTAGACTTTGAGTAAAGCAGATTACCCTCCATAATGTGGGTAAGCCTTGTCCAATCAACTGAATATTTAACATAGATATTCACTAAAATATCTTAACATAGATATCAACATGCATTTTATAATGATTTTAATAACTTCATGATATTTCATCAGCCATTTGTACCGTTACTTACCTAATTAGTCCTCCATTATCGGATGGCAGTTTTTTTTCATTTCTCTTGTTCTATAATTATAAATAATGCTACATGATACTTCTACATGAGATTCTTTTGTCAATTGATTAATGTGGAACACATGTTCCCATATACCTAAGTAATTCATCATACTTTAGCTTTGAAGTTAAATATAATTTCCTTAGGAATGCCTTCCCAGAACTCTCTAAACTGGCGTATTCCCTCTTTTCTATACTATTCCAGCATGCTCCATGCTATAGCTACAGCATAATTTGTTGCTACAAACTTCTTCAAGGATTTATTTTTTAAAAAATTTGCTCTTCCTCTCACCAAAATGTTCTATGTATGAGGGCAGAGTCATCATTGCTTGGTTAATATTTTACTCATAGCACACTAATCACCACATAATACATATTCAATATACAATAGTTTAATCATGACTGAATTTGCTTTTTCATAATTTCTTGTTTGTACTAATTTTCTGATTTTTTTAAGTTGACAAAAATTGTATATATTTATGGTGTGCAATATGTTTTGATGTATGTATATATTGTGGAATGGCTAAATCAAGCTTCACACACTTTTTTGTGGTTAGAACACAAGATTAATTCTCATAGCAATTTTCTGGTGTACAATATATGTACTAACCACTGTTACCATGATATACAATAGACCTCTTGAATTTATACTTTGTCTTACTGAAACTTTGTATCCTTTAGCCAAATCTCCCCAATTCCCCATTCTCCAGCCTTTGATAACCACCATTCTACTCTCAGCTTCTATGTTTAGATTCCACATACACATGAGATCATGTAGTATTAGTCTTTCAGTGCCTGGCTTACTTCACTTAACGTAACGTTGTATAGGGTCACCCATGTTGTCATAATTGACAGATTTTCTTTTCTTAAGGCTGAATAATATTGTATTGTATATATATAGCACATTTGTTTTATCGATTCACCTATTGATGGACACTTAGGTTGTTTTCATATGTTGGCTATTGTGAGCAATGCTTCAATGAACATGGGAGTGCAGATATCTCAACACACTGATTTCTTTTCCTTTGGATACATACCCAGTAGTAGGATTGGTGGATCATATGGAAGTTCTATTTTTAGTTTTTGAGGAACTTCCACACTGTTTTCCATAATGATTGTACTAACTACATTCCCACCAACAGTAAAAAAGAGTTCCCTTTTCTTTACATCCTTGCCCACATTTGTTATCTTTAGTCTTTTTCATAATAGCCATGCTAACAGGTTGTGAGGTGGTATCTCATTGTGATTTTAATTTACATTTCTCTGACAATTAGTAATATTGAACATTTCTTTCATAAGTCTGTTGGCCATGATGTCTTGTTAAGTCCTGTGCCCATTTTAAAATCAGGTTATTTGTTTTCTCGCTATTGAGTTGTTTGAATTCCTTTTATATTTTGGATACTAACCCTTATCAGATGTTTGGTTTGAAAGTGTTTTCTACCATTCCATAGGTCTTTACTCTGTTGGTTGTTTCCTTTACTGTGTATACTTTTTAGTTTGATGTAATCCAATTAGTCTATTTTTTCTTTTTTGTTGCCTGTGCTTTTGGGATCATATCCAAAAAATTATAGCCCAGACCAATGCCATGGAGCTTTTCCCTTCCGTTTTCTTCTAGCAGTTTTACAGCTTCAGGTCTTATGTTTAAGTTTTTAATCTATTTTGAGTTGATTTTTATATAGTGAGATGAGTGTCTAATTTTATTCTTCTGCATTTGAATATATGGTTTTGCGAACAACATTTGTTGAAGACACTGTACATTCCCCACCGTGTTTGTTGAAAATCAATTGACTGTAAATGAGTGGATTCATTCCTGGATGCTCCATTGTGGCTCCATTGGTTTATGTGTTTTGATTTTTTGTAACTTTTAAAAATGACAGTATTTTCTTGATTTTTTTCAGGACAGTTTATTATCAGTATATGGAAACATTACTTATTTTCGTACGCTGATTTTGTACTCTGCAACTTTACTGAATTTATGTATTCTAACAATTTTTGGTGGAGTCCTTAAGATTTTCTATATACAATATCTTGTTATCTATAAACAGATAATTTAAAGTTTTCCCCCCACTTTGGATGTTTTTATTTCTCCCTTTTGCCTAATTGCTCAGACATGGACTTCCAGTACTCGGTTGAACAGCAGTGGTAAGAGTGAGCAACCTTTCCTTGTTCCTGCTCTTAGAGTAAAAGCTTTCAACTAGTCTCTATTGAGTGTGATGTTAGCTGTGGGTTTGTTATATATGGCCTTTATTGTGTTGAGGTACATTTCTTCTCTGCCTAATTTGTTGAGGGTTTTTATCATGAAAGGATGTTGAATTTTGACATCTATTGAGATGATCATATGATATTTGTCCTTTATTCTGTTAATGTGGTGTATCATATTCATTGTTTTGCACATAATGAACCATCCTTGCATCCCAGAGACAAATTCCAATTGATTTTGGTAAATTATCCTTTTCACGTGTTGTTGAATTTGTTGCTAGAATTTTGCTGAGTACTTGTGTGACCATGTTCATTGGGGATATTGTCCTATGATTTACTTCTCTTGTATTATCCTTGTCTTTTTTCCAAAATTTTTGATGAATTTTTTTATGAATGCTTTCCTTAATTTTTAACCTAAGAAATATTTTAAACATAGAGACATTATGCATGTTTTAAATTATGTAATTCTAAAGTGCTGTTTTTAGTAGGACAATTGCCTTGTTGACGTGTTCAGTACAAAATATTCCCTTACATTTTATTTCATTATGTAAGAGGCTGATTAAGGAGATTAATATACCAGATATGTGAAGAAATCTGTGGTTAAAAGCTAAAACATTTGACTTCAAAATGTAAGAACATAATCGATATGAGTGTGAATTTGTATTTTCTTCCAAATCTGTAAATGGTTAAATTAAGTATCTCACTAACAACTGTCAATAAAAATGGAGGTTTAATTTTAGAGAGATAGAACAGATTAGCATCAGTGAATAATCATGACAGGAGAGTAACCTAAGGGCAAAGTCAAACAGATACATTGTAAATAAAGCTATAGAGAAGAACAGATAAGCCTCCTGATGTGTTAAATGATAGAAAAATTGAGTTGTCTGCATTACTGCCCCCACAAGAAACAAATAAATCAGCCAATCCTTTGTAGACAATGTTATCTTACCCTCTTCCACTTCATGATCTGAAGCATCCTGTCGTTTGAGGGAATGGGAGAATCCCTTAGGCTGTAGACTAATGCTATTTTCCTTCTGCTAAAAGTAGTTTTGAGTCTTTACATGGTATTCTGGTTTTTTGTTTTTTGGTTTTTGTTTTTTTGAGACGGAGTCTCACTCTGTTGCCCTTGGCTGGAGTGTAGTGGTGCGATCTTGGCTCTGCAACCTCTGCTCTCCGGGTTCAAGCAATTCTCCTGCCTCAGCCTCTCTAGTAGCTGCGATTACAGGTGAGCGCTATCACACCCAGACAATTTTTGTATTTTTAGTAGAGACGAGGTTTCGCCATGTTGGCCAGGCTGGTCTCAAACTCCTGACCTCAAGTTATCCCCCTGCCTCGGCCTCCCGAAGTGATGGGATTACAGGCATGAGCTACTGCGCCAGGCCATAGTATTCTGTTGAAGTAATATTTTCAAATGTACAACATAAGAATATACCTTGTTGTTTCATCCACAGAGAAAAATTATTCAGTTTCCAGAGATAAGATATTAGTAGTTTAACTTTACCTACATATTTCCTCCCAGTTTGGAGAAATCTGATTGGTTAAAGGAAAAACATCAAATTAAATGAGTTGTCTATTTACATATCTATATTTGTTAAGGAATTTAGCAGCATATAGAGTACTCTTGGCATTATGCGTGTGTTTATTTGTGCGGGGTGTATTTTAAAAGACGAACAAGACCAAGTCTTTGTTCTCAAAAGTCACAATTTAATAAAGACAGATTAGAAAATACATTTTTATTTTTAACTTTACCAAATAAATATAATATGCCTTGCATGTAATTAGTGCCATTATTGAGACACAAGCAAAGTGCTGGAGGATCTATCAAAGCAAGCTACACCCCCATGACTTATGAGTATCAGAAGCAGCCTCTAAGTGGTGCGATATTTGAGTTTATCCTTAAGTGATAGGTGGAATCTCAAGACATAAATGACAAGAAAGAAAATATGTTCTAAAAAAATGAATAACATGATTAAAAGTTTAAATATAAAAAAAAAGCATGCTCAGGTAGAGAGGAAGTTTTTTTGTTTTTGTTTTTGTTTTTTGCTGTGGTGTAATGTAGAAGGATGATATATATGGATAGATAGAAGATTGGCCAAGTCCTCTGAGGGGCAAATGAGAACCGGTGTTCAATTATGAATTGGGCACTATTTTGATATGAGTATGCTATATTTAATCTCAAACTAATGTAGGATGTGTCTGAGTTCAGAGAAGTATAAAAGAAGAAGAGGATTTATTAAAATAGACTTGAATTCCTCTGAATAGGGAGGAGTCATACAGAAAAGAAATTTATAGATGCAAGAAGCATTTTCAAGTTAAATTTATAGAATTTAATAAAATACTACCTAAGTGGATGTCATATAAAAAGAAAATGAAAGATAAAGGTGACCTCAAAGTTCCTAATCAAAGAAGCCAGCGACATAAGTGGAGGAAGAAAGAGGAGGACTTGTTGGTTTATAAGATGATTTTATCAATCTACTTGGTAATTAGTGGCTGACTCTATTTCAGACACTGATTCTATATCTTGGAATGCTATAAGTTAAAAAGAAAAATTTTAAATGCACAAGATTTGGTTTAGATCACATGAAGTTTTAATTGTTTCTCCTGTCAATATATACACATATATTAAATATTTCCATTAAAAGACAAAGATTGTCAGAAAATATTAAGAAAACCATAGTTAAAAGAAATAATGCTTTAATATAATTATAAAGAAATACTGAAAATTAAAAGATAGAAAGTTCACCTTGCAAATACTAACCAAAGAAAGCTGGTCTATCTTATATCAGACATATTAGATTGTAAGGCAAGATGCGTTACCAACTTTAACAGTAACATTTCATAATGATAAGAGACAACTCACCCAAAACATGTAACAATTCTAAATTTGTGTGATGCAAGTAATGTAGCCTCAGAATAAATAAAGCAAAAACTTATGAAACTAAAAAGAAAAATATATATTTCTAAACTCAGTGAAAAATTTAAACATATCTCTATCAATTATTGATAGCACATGTAGAAAAGATATCAATTAGAATATAGAAGATCTAATACCATGCTTAACAAGTTTGTTTTGATATATATGTAAAACTTTGTACTCAACTACTACAGGAAAAAAATAATCATTCAGTAGAGCAATCTCCTCTCCCAATTTGTATAAAGCCAGATACATTTGGGAAATGAATATTTTGAGCTTAGGGTTATTTTCTTGATCTCTTGTTTTTATTTTTTGAGTTCATAACAAACAAGTATTTAGAAAAGAAAATACGTTGTCTTAAGAAATCATAGATTTAAAACGTAAATATTTTATCAAAAATAACATTTGTTTTCTTGAGGGCATGTTTACATAAACATTCTTTCATTAAATGTTGGCTTTCTGATTCTTCTGACTCTAGATCAGACTTATATCTCAATATAACAGATTATTTCACCTATCTTTTTAAAACTTTGGTAACTTTCAGAAATAAATTTATAAGATCAATAATCATCTCAATTTCTATTTATTCAATAACGCTAAAGAATTTTCTACATCAGGGGTCAGCAGACCACAAGAAGCAACTTGTTTTTGTAAATAAAGTTTTATTAGGGCACCTCTACACCTCTTTACCTACGTATTGTCTACAGTGGCTTTTACATTTCCATAGGAGTTATGAGTAGCTGTGACCAAGAACATATGGCATATAAACCTGAAACATTTACTCTCTGGCCCTTTAAGAAAAAAGCTTTGCCAATTTCTGATCCCTGATCTATGTGTTTTAACAAGCAGAAGTTAATTTTCAGAAATTTAAGACATATGGCTCTTTTAGTTATAACATTTATTTTTCTTTAAAGATTCACAGAAAGGTCAGTTGTTGCAATGTTCTGATTGTTAAATTATGAACCCTTTGTATTAGAAATTACTGTATATAAATACTTAATATTTGGGATTTTTAACTGGTAACTTTAATAAATGAGAACTTATCTTGCAAATATTGTAATACTTATGGGAAAATGTGTAGATGTATAGAATTAATGCATCCTTCTCCACATATTGGAGATCATATTTGGTTAGGAGCATTTTTTGGAGTCTGATTTAAATATTCAATTGACTCTAAGGACCACCACACAATGAACTGAATAAACAACATTTCAAAGCAGAAAGAAAGACCCTATCGTTCATAACTGTCTTCCCCATTCCTTAGCATATGGTTTTTTTAAAACAATTTCATTAAAGGAACAATGAATGCATCCCAAACTCACTTCACCATGAATTCATTATTAAAAAAAAAAAAAAGGACAGGGAAATGAAATCACGTCTGTAGACTTCTGGAAACAATCATGCTGTATGAGTCAGACTGAGGGTCAGTACTTCTTTGCCAGAATACCATAGGATCATGCTATTGAAAATCTAACCAACATATAAAGTCGTAAAGAGAAAGAAAAATAAATGAAAATTCACATTATTGCAGATTGTATAGTTTGATGCTATGTGAATGGTCTTCATTTATGGCTAGGAATTGCAAGACTGCTGTGAAAAGTGGCAATTATACCTTGAAAATAAAAGACTGCAGTAATATCAGGACAGATATTAAAACAATAATGTGATTTAAAGGGTGCTTTTTAGTACTTATAGCTTCCCAACATCTGTCCTTCAAGGTGGGGAAATATACATTATTTTTTAAATTTAATCATACCTATCTATATATATTTTGTACTCCATGCATCTTGTAATGATTGGAAAAAAAAACTGTCCCGGAGACATCTCTTTTAATGTCACTATGCATTTTGTTAGTTTGTTTAACCATCAGACAAACACTAACCAAAATAGAGTAGATCTGGAAGATATGCTTTTGAATTCACACTTGAGGATATAGGTACATTTATGGATCTAAGGATATCTTTTTATTCTATTGTTTATTTTTGTAGTGGTGACAGTATATCCTTGTTGTATATGTATGTGTATTTATACATACTTATAAATAAATATAATAGGTATAAAATTTAATCAAAGTGTCAAGCATTCTTGGGACACTATTTTTTAACTTAACTGAGAAAAAACAGTGACAAGTTAAGAAAATATTGACAATTTAGTATCTCATGTGAATATTAAGTTGCAGCTTTCTATATTCTCGTTTATGTAAACAAAGAAAAACAATATATGGCTGGGCGCGGTGGCTCATGCCTGTAATCCCAGCACTTTGTGAGGCCAAGGAAGGAGAATCACCTGAGGTCGGGAATTCGAGACCAGCCTTAACAACATGGAGAAACCCTGTCGCTACTAAAAATACAAAAAAGCCAGGAGTGGTGGCACATGCCTGTAATCCCAGCTACTTGAGAGGCTGAGGCAGGAGAATCTCTTGAACCTGGGAGGAGGAGATTGCAGTGAGCTGAGATCGCGCCATTGCATTCCAGCCTTGGCAAGGAGCAAAACTCTGTCTCAAAAAAAATGTATAAATATATATATATGGTAATGTCTGTCAGTAATATCAAAAGATGAACAGATAGTTGATAGCATAGACAGATGTATAGATATTACCACAAACATGCACATATTTACACACTACTACACAACTCGAGGCCATTCTGGCATTATATAATCATGGTCAGTAATGAATGTTTGCACAAGTCTTTTGAAAATTCCATATAACTAATTTGATATTGTTCATTAAATTTAAGAATGACTTAAAAATACATTAAAATTTTTTCTTTTCATAGTGAAACAATTACTATTATCTTTCAGGCCATGTAATTACTTTATTTCAGAATTGTAAACAAAAAGAAACAAACTAAAATAAGAGGCCTGATTTTAGCAATATGCCATTTTATCTTTGTAAAGTCCGCCATACAATTGTTAATTGTGTAGCCTCCATGTTTCTTTACCAGAAAGACAACTGATTACATGACAACATTTTGCTGATATATTAATGATACCATTAACAATTTATTGCAAAATTTCTTCAGTCTTTAGAAAGTTAACATGTGCATGCAATATAATATCAAAGAATTGTGACGCTCATTCCATTATATCTTTATCAACGAAAACAGAAGTTAATAATTATTCTTTAGTGTTTTTATGAATAATAGAGTAAGTATAAAAACATCAACTACATACATTTTTAACAAAGAATTTTTCATTTCCATTATTTAACATTTACTCTTTAATTAATTTTTAATAGGATATAAATAATGTTGACAGGTGGTTATTGATGGAACTGATTAAAAAGCTTCATTCATTCATCTATTTTTTCAAATTCAAATTTGCATTGTTTTTGGAATGAGTTTCAAATAGTCTGCCAAATTCTCATGATACAGAAATGAATGAAACATGGTCCCCGCCTTAGCAGTCTGGTAGACAATGTTGATTTGCAAACATCCAACATTTTACATTCAGTGTAAAATAAAAGTGTATCCAGAGATCCAAATCTCATAAAAATATTTTTCCTCATGCATTTGTCTCACTTTTCTACATTTGTAAATGTAATGTATTTCTTAATAAATTTGTTCTTCAGAATTAGAGTTTTTGTCTTCCTGTTCTTCATGATTGTTTTCTTTGGCAACATCTCCAAGTAAGTGCATTCTTACATCCATTGCATTGCTTATGCCTAAAACTAGACAGACTAAATGAAGTGCTAAGTGTGTTAGACAAATTATTTATGCTAAAAGTTATTTTTGCAAGTGAACTGACCTGGAAATTGTGGATTTTGCCTTTTTATTTTTCTAGTATAGAATATCCAATTTTAGATATTTTAAGAAATAACTTTTAAAGCTTTGCATTTAACTGTTAAAGAAGTATGTCAATACATAATTTAAAACTTGAACTAATATTTGCTATATCTTCATGTTTCTTGTCTGCCAGAGTTTAGTGCTAAGAGAACTAGATTTGTACTAGGAGCCCAGAGCACTTTTTATCTGGTTAGTATGAAAGCTTTTTAATTTTCAATAGGTATTGTTTCTTAAAGCATCAATTTTTTAAAAACAAGAAAAAAAACAACTGAAATAACTGTTAATGTGGAAATCATTTTGTTTTAGGAGCAAATGTGAAAAATGATGCAATCTGCAGATAATAAAACTCTAGTTGTTTTGAGGTCAAAATAATCAGTATTATTTTTCTCTTGAGCAACACAGGAAGTAAAGAGACATTTTCATTAATGCCATCTGGCTCACAGATGTCATTTACTGTGAATTTTAGAAATATATGAAAACCTTATGGCTAATCTGTTTTGTAACACATTCATTTTTATGGCAGGATAAAAGGCCTAGTAGATATTATAGACATATTTAAAGAGGCTATATTTACATATTTATTAAAGCTAAAATATTATGTTACTAAATGATAATTTTTCCAAGTAATCATTCCTATCTAAAATGGCATTCAATAATATTTGTTCACCAAACCAAAGGATGACTTATGAATAAAATCCTTTTAAATTTGATTTTGTTGCTAAAGGATATGTGGTTATACACAGTGCATATATTAGAAAAACCCCTTATTCATTTAGTAATGCTCTTGATATGTTTTGGCTTATGGTTCAGTTCTTTTTAAATTTTGCTACATTCTTTGTTTCCACTTAAATTTGGCTTCTATGAAAACATTAAGAAATACTTTTTGTTTACCTCTTAGAAGGTATATACAATATGACACCTTTGGAGGTTTAATGTTAGAAATGCAGAAGCAGACCTTTAAAATGGAGTCCCCATTTTGCCAGTCATAAAGCAAAATCTGTGCGACACACACATCTAGGTATTTTTCATCCATATCTAGCTTGCTCACAATGACTTTCTCATGCATTACAAACAATCTGGCTCTTAATATAGTGTTTAAATGAACTTTAATGTGGCACATGACAGTCTTCTGATATAGTCAGTTATCAGTTCAGAGGTCGAATTACTGAATCTTACTCCCTACTATTCTTCCCACAGGGACATAAATTCTTAACCGTATCTAGAGTTCCTGCAATATAATGTCATATTCCCTTCTGCCATTTCACTGAGAGAAAGGTTATAAGTTCAGAAAATGCTAGCTGAACCAAACAGTTTATGATTTCACCTATAAACATTAGGGATACAAACATTTTCTCAACATCATGTGAACCACTGCCTGTCGTTTTGGGTCAGGTGTCTGTGTTCATGTGATAACACTCAGGTTCCATGAACACACATTACTGTGATTGCAGATTTCCCTTTAAACCAAAAACAACATTACATTTAATTATGACCTCACTGAAGCTTAGTTAGATGTATAATCAGTAAAAACGGAAGTAGAAAGGAAAGAGTTAGACAAGGTGAATGCATGATTTTAAAAAATGCCTGTATTTGCTCATGCTGTATTTTTACAATATATGAAAATCTGGCATTCTGGTTTCATAAATACATTCTACATTCTTTTCATTTTTCAGCCAGGTAATATATTTCCTAGAAAAGGTGTATATTGATAAAATTGCATCTGGAATTTCATCATTAGGTTTAGGCTGGAATAATTTAAATATGTTATTGTAAAACTAAATGTCAAGTTGATTGAGCCAGGATAACACAATAGCTTCTCTGAGCATGTTGGTGCACACCTTAGGCAACTGGCAGTCTCTTGACACAGATACGAACATGTCTTATAGAAAACATTGGTGGAAAGTAAGTGAACAGAATAATAGCCAAATATATCCAACTTACCTACCAAATCCATTCATCTGAGACTTAGATGAGCTTCAAAAGTCACAAACCAGATTTAAAGCTGTTCACCATACTGTTTATTCTATGAGACACTCCAACCGTTAACAATGTAAATGACTGCAATACTCAATACAATTTTCTAACACAATTACTTGGGTCACAGGTGTGACAATTTTTGAGCTATTGAAACTAACATGTTTGAGCTTCTGAAACAAACAGCTCTACAGTCAACTTAAAATCAATAACAGTATTTGATTTTTGTCATATTTGTTGCCTTCTAGAATTCTGATAGGTAGCATAATTCTGTAGTATTGATCAATATGCTATGCTGTGTGTCAATATGAAAAATACAAATGCCAATTTCAGTTACTTGGAAACAGTTTAGGAGAACTCATGGAAGGATTTCATCTATTTTTAACATTCCTGACCATAGGGGTTAGCAAATTTACCCTTTATAATCATTTATCTTGGCCAAAGTCAAGAATTCATTTACTATCCGAGTGAAATCACCCATGTTAGAAGAATGTCTAAAGGTTTTCTTTTGTTGTTGTTCATTTTCCAGTTTCTTTACTAATATGGGTACATTTATAATGGGAAATACTTTGAATAAAATATAATTTTATTCTTCAAAATGCGGACTTGAAGCAGCTGCTTTTCACAGTGTACATCTGCATAGTGTTATGGAATGAAGGTTTTTAAAATGAGTGCTTCAAAATACCACATTTATTTTCTTCCTTGCAGCTCAAATCCTCTCCCCGCCTGGTGTGTGTGTTCAGCTGGTTCTCCAAGCCTTGGTCACAGTCTCACTGACCTTGGTTGCCTGGTTACAAAATCCTCTTTGTGATTTGTGAGATGCTTGTCTTGATGGAGAGCAAAGGATTTTTTTTTCTACAGTAAACTTAAGGGAGTTTCTATTTCAGAGTAGAACATATTAAAACCAGTGTATCTTGCCAATTTATAATTTGCTCTTCATAGGGAATAAAATTATGAACTGGATTTTTTCCTATCCAAATTATATTTAATATTATTGCCAACATTTACTTCCTGATTCTAGAGAATAAGCATCTCAAACAGCTAGAGGGCTGCAGTCTAAGCTCCTTAAAAAATGAGGCAACTTTATAAAACATAAAGTATAAATATAATAATATGTTATGAAAATTGTATGTTCTTGTGAAGACAAATGTTTACATGAATCATTTGCAATCCACTTAATTTTCTCATTCTTTCTATAAATGAACTTGAGAGAAACTATATTTTTAATATTTTTGATGCTGGAAAAAATAGTCTGTGATATGCATTTTATTTTGTCATTATCCAAGTGCATTTCTCTTTCTAAAGTTCCATATCCCTATGATAGTGTCAAAATATATTGCTTGTCAGATACATATTTACTTAACTTTTACATCCAATTTTCTTAATTGTTTCTTTTTCCAAGAAAATAAGATCCACTCATGTGTATACACGCTTAAGGTGTGATTTTTGTGAGCTTATGCAAACGCAATAAAATAATAACATTTGTTTGTTGAAAGTGTATGGGTGCCTAATTCTGGAGATTACCTTTAATAGGAGGCAATGGGCAAACTAAATGTAAGTGGTGTGGTCAAGTCACAAAATAACAAGCCCATTGTATCAGAGATCCAGTTTGCTACTTGGACACTTGAGCATATAGTCCCTCTGAAGTTAGTATAATTGGTTCCAGCTGTTTAACTGTTGGGTTTTTTTTGGTTTTTTTTTTTGTTGTTTTTTTTTAGTTTTGAACAGGAGCCAACTTGGCTTGAAAGCTGTGCTACCAAAAAGAAGAGACTGAAGAATGATGCCAATGTATATATATGTATTTCTTTCAAGCCATTTTCCTGCAGCAGTTCATCTCAGGGCCACGATAATTCAAACACAATGATAGTGATAAAAGAGAAATGGGTTGTTTGACTGCTAAGAGGCAGCTGGCCTGATTAAAGCCAATATGAGTGAGAAAAAAGCTTTTCATTTTTAAACTTTTTCTTTGTGAAAGAATAATTTCCCTTCAATGATGTGGTAAATGATTTATTTTCATCCTCTAAGTACTTTATGTAACACAATTTTCTATAAGAGTTATTAGTAACTAAGGCAACACAGGGCCCTGGGTCTCCAAATTTAAGCTTCTTCATAATTTTTTTTCATTAATGTATTGAGTAAAACATATCTTTTGCAAGAATTCAAATATCAGATAATATTTTTCCTCTTTTCAAAATCATAGCAACATAAAGCATTATATAACTGAGACATAGCTCCAATATTATCTAAGAGGTGTATCCAAAGTCACACAACTAGTTAATGTCAAACATGGATTAAAGTCTTTTTATTTCTCGTTAATGAAAATCCTACTCAATGACATACTAGCCTTATGACCTACCTTGCCAAAAGTAATTTTTAACAGATAGTACTTTAAATAAACTGTAAAATTCCAAGCTAGTTAGTAAAAGTATATTAAAGTGTTAAATTTTTTTAAGGTATAAAGGTAAGATTTTCATTTTATAAAACGGGACAATTAAATGTGCTAAAAGTATTAGAAAGTATGCAGAAAGTATTAAAAGGAGTAATTTGGCAACAAGGTAGTCAAAAGGATAGTAACATTAAAAATATAGGCTGGGAACGGTGGCTCACGCCTGTAATCTCAGAACTTTGGGAGGCCCAAGTGGGTGGATCATGAGGTCAGGAGATTGAGACCATCCTGGCTAACATGGTGAAACCCCGTCTCTACTAAAAATACAAAAAATTAGCCGGGTGTGGTGGTGGGCACCTGTAGTCACAGCTACTCGGGAGGCTGAGGCAGGAGAATGGCGCGAACCTGGTAGATGGAGGTTGCAGTGAGCCGAGATCGTGCCACTGCACTCCAGCCTGGGTGACAGAGCGAGACTCCATCTCAAAAAAAATATATATATATACACATATATAGTATATATATGTATGCATATATATGCGTATATGTATGTATATACGTATATATGTATATATTTGTGTGTATATATGTATATATTTATGTGTGTGTGTGTGTGTGTGTATATACGTATATATATATACATAAAACAAGGTCAAGCTCGATGGGTCACTCCTATAATCCCAGCACTTTGGGAGGCCAAGATAGGAGAATTGCTGGAGGCTAGGAGTTCAAGACTAGCCTGGCAAACATAGCAATACCCATCTATTTAAAAAAAATAAAATAAATAAATAAAAATAAAACAACCAGGAGACCATGGCAAGAATGACAGCGCCTCCCAGAAAGTCACATTCAGAAGACAAAGAAATCAGTGATAGAAAAATTTTGCAGAAAGAAAAGTCAGGGCTTATGCAGAATTTCATAAAATGAATGACAGGTATTGCATTAAAAGAAAGTCCATATTTTGGATAATGAAACATTTATTTATTCAGAAAATACTTATTGAGCACCTGCTACCTGCCAAGCAGTCTTCTATGCACGGTGTTTAAGAGAAGAATAGTATGTCACCGATAGAAAGGGATAATATTATAGCTACATCTTTCTTTTTCACTAACTGTATTTGTTTGAATGACTTTTTCACATTTCTTATGTCTCTAGCAGAACCTGGAAAGGAATAATCATCTGATATATAAAATAATAAATAGAAGGGCCCTGTATTTTAGCACAATATTTTACAGATAAGTAACTTGACACCCCAAAGAAAAAAAAATGAATTGCTCTAGATCTTTAAAATGAATTGTTCCCCTCTCCTCTCCCCAAATCTCCTAGAAGTACCTTCTACTTTCTCCATTTCTGAGGATCTTACCTCCACTCTACTTATTCCGAATGAACCCTGAGTCAACATGTGAATTACAGGCAGAGAAAAACAGTTACACATCCTTTCTAACCCACTCCCATGAACTAATTAACTGAGTGCCCTTACCAAAAGGTCCTTTAAATTGAGAATAAATTAGTTTGACAAAGAAAGAATTACTGGCATTCACTTGTGTATCCCAACTCGATTTCTCCTCCACTTATATAAAACAGAAAATTCTTATGGCTAGGTAAGGGTGGGCTGATACTGGCCACATGAGGCTTTTCTTAGACCATAGTTTTATCAGTAGCTGGGACCCCAAATTCAGCTATTTGTCAACAGAGAGAAAACAATGGCTCTGCTCAGAATTACTCAGCCTTGGCACTGTTGACATTGGAAGCCAGATAATTCTTTGTTATGAGGGACTATTTTCTATGCTGCAGGATGTTTAACAGCATCTCCATCCTCTCCTCACTAGATGCCAGTAGAATGTACCCCCACACTCTGAAGTCGTGACAACCAAAAATGTCTCCAGGCATTTCTAATGTCCCCTGGGGGAAGGCCAAAATCACCCCCAGTTGAAAATCACTAATCTAGCTGATCTTAGTCCATCATACAAACATCCAGAAGCAGTTTCAGATGATAAAAGTCATGCTGGGAGATCTGTGCTCACAGATGGCTTGTGATGCTTTCCTCCATCTGCAGATCAGAAGTATACCTTAAGTTGTTACACCAGAAGTAAGTTCTTCTCTATGACTAACATACATTTAGGTATATTTGTTAGAGACAGGGACTGGATTCTTATTGGACCAGGAGCATTATTCTCTTAATGAGATGAATTTTATCAACACTGGAAACTAAAATACTTTCATAGTATGTGTCTGCCAGTAAAAAAAAATTTACTCTTTCTTTTTGATCCTATTGTATAAATTTTATGAAACAAACATATGCACGTTCTTTTTTTCTCATCTTCTAAGTCCAAATAATCACAAACAGAACTTTGTACCAATTGATCAGGTTTTCTTAGAATTCTCATAGCAATTAGCTGACTCTCACTTACCACATATGCCCATATCAATTTGGTGTTCAGTTTTGAGCAACTCAAACTTTAATATTAAGCCTAACTTTAATTCTTTGGCCACAGAAGACAACTGATATTTTCAGTAAAAATATAAAATAGCTTAGTGAAAATAGCCTGGTCTATTATATCCACTTTATTCTCAACCAACATTTCACAGGAGCATTCATTCTCATCAGATTTTTATATTTCTATATTCAATAAGGAAAAGAACAAATAAGCCAAGTACTTACAATAATTGGGACTATAAACAGAAATAAAAACGTTTGCCTGCTTTCTTATCATAAGCACTGAATAAAATGATATAAATATTTTATTCTTTAATATGTTTCAGTGCTGTAATGTTTATCAAAGTCATTTCAATGCCATGACAATTCTGAAATTATTCTTTTGTAACAGTGTTTGGGGTTTATCTATAAAATAACTCGTTGACTATGTTATCAAAAAACAAATGTGAATGGTTTGTTATTGTCCATTTTTTTCTTCCATAACTTTTCTTTACTCAATTAGTCAATACTGTGTGCTACATTAACAGGCTATAGCTTAAAACTGGTATTGCTGATTGGAATCCATCCTTAGAAAGTAATTTCATAATAGTTTAGTGTTTAGAACAAAAAATATTTTCAGAACTTTAAAATTTTTAGCATTCTTCTCTTATTTGCTTGATAACCTTGTAATTTCTCTATTGATTCTTCGAAACTTAAATTTTCACATAGCTTTGGAGGACTGTATTACCAGAAAATACTTTATGTATTTCATGTACACGTCTTAAAAAAAAAACTATTCCTCGAGGACATAAACTATTTCTTTGTATTCTATATGGAGTCTTACGAACAGTAGGTGTTCAATTACTATTTGTTGATAAATCATAAATACATGATTCATATATTTATGTATGTAATAGTTTTAAGATCCTAGCATTTGATTTTATATGCCTCTAAGATCCAGTGGCAGAAAAAGAGAATTTCCAGTAATGATATTAAAAAGTTATATACTATAGATAAGTTAATTCCACCCATGGTTTCTAAATACTCTTGTAGATTAATATTAGCTTTTGAGTATGATATATGATATTCAGTAGATAAACTGAAATATCAAATGTGTTTAAGATCTAACTTGACATATATTGAGCTTATTTATCTGATTTTATTTAGAGTTTATTTTAAGGAAATATAATCATTTCAAAATCTGGAAAGTGCACAGGAAAAAAATAGCTCTGCCTATGTTTTTGGCAATTGGAAATAAAATACAGGCTGGGTGCGGTGGCTCAAGCCTGTAATCCCAGCACTTTGGGAGGCCGAGCCAGGCGGATCACAAGGTCAGGAGATGAACATCCTGGGTAACACGGTTAAACCCCGTCTCTACTAAAAATACAAAAAAAAATTAGCTGGGCATGGTGGCCGGCGCCTGTAGTCCCAGCTCCTAGGGTGAGGCAGGAGAATTGCTTGAACCTGGGAGACGGAGGTTGCAGTGAGCTGAGATCACGTCACTGAACTCCAGCCTGAGCGACAGAGCGAGACTCCATCTCCAAAAAAAGAAAATACAAATCAACGATTTCCTCAAATTAATTTAATAATTGAAAAATATTGCCTGCAGTATTTCATACTTTTGCAAGATACAGTGACTTCCAATTTAAAGCTGTATTTCAGGAAGAAGAAAATATATTATTTTATTTTCTCTGAAAATAGTCTTTATTGCTATTGTGTTATATTCTCTGAAGATAGTATTTTCACTGCTAGTATATGACTCTGTGCTCATTTTCATATGTCAACTATCTCCTTCAACTGCCTTGGTGAAACTTTGGTATTTGGTCTAAAATATTGGCATTAAATTATTAATGTCTGAGATAACTACTTACAATGAACGGACTGAAATGGGTGTAGTTGGGCCCAACACGGTATCAGAGAGCCTGACACAGGCCCCAGTTAGAATCCTCTATTCATGTCATGGCTCTGCTTCTGATTCATCACTAGGCATAATGAAGAGCCAGACATTTGCTTATTGACTCCCACTTAAAACTTTAAGCCTTTCACGGTAGGTGGCTAAAGATTCACAAATTTAAATTATTTCTTACGGTACAATTTTATGTATGTGTTACATGTTTTAGAATTTAAGAAAAAGCAAGAGACTCTAACGTTTACTGTACACTCTCCATTTATGAAATGCAAATTTAAAACATATATAGGGCTGATTTTTTAAGCCTGTATTCCAGTAAAGTTTATAGTCCCAGTCCTGTGGTGGGCTCATCTCTTTAGGCATTTCAGAAAACTTCTTTTGGAAGAAGTTTTTTAGTCTGTGGTATGTTTTATTGACTTACCAAGTAGTGCTGCACTTTAAATTTGGATTTCATCTGAGGAAAAAGATGGAACTCATCTGGACCAAGACACATGAATAATGTAAGTGATGGATCTGGGCTGTGCCATTTTTGGCCCCAAATAGTCTGTGACTTTAATAGTTCTAAGATTGATTTTTATTTTTGCACAACTCACATCTTTGCAAAAATATATGAGAGGTTTTCCAAAATCTTTGTGTAATGGAATAAATAGACCCTCTCCCAAGCTGTCCATTTTAAAGGACAATGCTCCTTTGAAGGAGTAAATTTAGACATATTTATAAAAAGATATTATTTAAAGTCACACTTTGCACTTTCACTTAGGAAGAATAAGGTGCTATCAAGATTGCACAGGAGCAGGATCTGGCTTTGTGGGTGTCAAGTGGCTTGTCTGAAGTCTCCAAGCACATCATGGAGTGGCATCATGAAACTCATTATCAGTAGCTTTTTAAAAAACTTTTTGAAAAACACCTTTCCCTGTGATCTTCTGACTTGGTTCTTACTCTTGTTAAATTAATTTTTACAGTATAATATGATGTTTTTAGCTTTGGAATGACTTGGGCTTAAACAGTTAACATAAGCTAATAATTCCTTGTTTTCTTTGCTTTTCTGGTAGGCAAGAGCTGGGCATTTAGCCAAGAAAGAAAACACTTATAATAAATCCAAAAACTGAATAAATACATCTTGTTTTTCTGATGGTATCCTAAATTGGGGAGGCAAAGGTGACATTTTAAAATTGAGTCTAAATGTTTGTAGTAAACTCAACAAAAAGTGAGTTCCTCCTAGAGAGTCTGTGAAACCGCTATAAATGGACAACTGCAATTTTGGGGACTTTATTTCCATGGAAAATTAGAGATTCTCTCTAAACCTTTTTTAAATTATATATCTAAAGAAAGTACTTCTTTGTCTCTTGAGGCTAAGCCCATACTGACTTGAACATTGGAAGTTTTGAATCACATTTCTTTTTTAGTCTAATTTAAGATAGTTGTGGAACTTAACATTTCTCTTTTTTAATACAAGTGTCTTAATAATAATAATTGGGGCTCCATGTAATGCATACGGTATTCAAATCCTTAACTAATAAAATCATAATAAAGAAAGCATAATTTTCAAATGTATTAATACATTTATTTAATATACACTTATGAAGTTTTTTTTGGTTTGGACACAATGTTGAAAGTTAGAGCTGTAACTACAAATCAAAAATGAACAGAGTTCCTACCCTGTGGATCTCATAGTTTATCAAAATCAAGACATTATTTGAGAGAATAATTATCTTATCATAAGCTATGCATCTCAGGTTTATCTAAACCATCACATAGAGATAAAGAAAATCAATGTTATTATCAGTATTACAGTCTTTGAAATAGACCTTAATAAAAAATAAAACATATATGTAAATATTAATTTTTAAGAATTTCATGATTGTGAATAGTACGATTGGATAACACCACAGATCTTTTTGATTGGAGCCAGTACTGTGGCTTAATTATAATTTCAAAAATTTATTTTATGCTCAGCACCTTTGTTCCTTTACACAAAACTAATAACAACGACTATATCACCTATTTGTTCGTCTGGTTTTCCCAATAGAAAAAGAGGAAACTCTATTTTTACAAAACTAAAGCAAGCATTTTGCCCTTAATTAAGACTTCTGTAATAATTGACTCTACTTATTTTTAATGTTGTGTATGAATAGATACTACGTTTACTCTTTACTGATATGCTCTATAGTTCCAACGATGTATTTTTCTTAACCAGATCTCTTGTAAAATAAGAAGCCAGAAGCCTCTGAAGCAGATTCAATTTTTAAATACAATAGTGATGCCAGGTTAAGGAAGGTATATGGTGAAAAAGACTTGACCATTTCAAATAATAAATTACTGCAAAATGTATTGAAGAAAGCCAGTTAGAAACCCATCTAATTTTGTATTTAATTTAACCAGTAAAAAATGTTTAATTAAGAATATATTTCTCTTTGTACTTCTAATTTTATTCAGTCATAAAGAAAATTATAGTTCTTTTCACTTTTCTACATATTTTGTGTTATATCTGAAAATGATATGTTGTTTCTAGAACGCAGTAAAGATTTTTTGTAAAAAAATAAATCTTTTTTATCCTTCACCCTTAAATTAGGAATGAAAATTAATTTCAATATATTATATTAGATATATTAAAGTTTAGAAAATTAACAGTACATATAACATTATATCATTTGTTAAATGAGAGTTTTGTTTAGTATTTACTAGAACCACATTTTAAATAGGATTTTTCAGTTTATAATACTCAATAATGTCATTGATGCTTACAGTTTCTTCCTTGAGTGTAATTGAAAGCACTTTATTAATAATGTCAGCATGCCAAAAAAAATCTATAATGAAGGTACAGAATAGAAACTATTAGAGACTATAGACTTGACAATCAGTATGGTACATCCAAACTTATTTGGCTTTATATTTCTAGTTAGAGGTAGTATGATGTTGATGATAAATATAAAAGATATGGTGTACTACTAGGTCTTTTAAGTGAAAATACAATTTTCTCAACTCTTGAATGGCAGTCTAATTGACTGATAAATTTGACATATGTTGATAGTGAATCACAAGCTAAAGATAAATGAATTTTATATTATGAATAGAAAACAAATATGCTATTCTAGGAAACAAATGGTAATTCCACATATGGCATTGTAGAAATAAATAGAAATGAGGTTCTTTTCCCTGAAAAATGTTATCGATGATAAAAATAGATATGCTCTATCTCAAAATAATACAGCTATTCATTGTGGTAACTGTTTTCGTTACAACAAACAAAACAAACCCATATAAATAATGAGCAGTCATTTAAAATGTATGCCTTCTTTTTCCTTAAATAAGTGACTATGGAATATTCAAAGGCATTTTAATAGTGATTTTGTAAATATAATTAACCTGTTGATCTGTTGATAACTGCCAAAGCCCCCCATCAAATCTTCACTTTAGTTTTCATTGATACATGTAATTAATAAATGTATCTACCAAGTTTTATATAACTTCTTCTGTCAACACATTTCTAGGGTGACAACTTCCTATAATAGTCATTGAATTAATAATTATATCTGATTAAAAATGATTTGGACATGCATTCTGATTTTCACAATCTACCTGGAAAGATATATTAGGATAAAAAGAAAACCATCACAAGAAAAGTAAGATATTAGAAGACTTAAAGGGGAGAAAGTATTATAATAGATTACTAATAAAAATTACCATTACAGATGTAGTATTTGCTTTGGGAAAAATGAACAAAGTAGGCAGTTGAAAATATGAAATTAGAAATAAGGCTTTGAGACTTGTCTTCCTTAAAGTTCCAAAATCTACAGTGTAAATAAAGGACCTGATCTGGTATAAGTGACTCCGAAGTCCATGCTCTTAAGGGAAAAAAAGACAAATATATAGAACATATAATAATAAACAGGGCAAAAGCAGATGTGGAATATACTACATGTGTCTGACATTCTGATTTTAACTCATACCTTAATCGGTATTGTCTTTTCAAGCTTGAATCTCATTTGCCACTAACTGCATGTTTATTACAGGAAAAATATGACAGTCTGCAATTGAATTGTTTCTTGAAGAGTGACATAATTGTCCTCAGATTAGGTGGCATCAATTAATCTTGTAGTATAGATGAATAAGAATTCAGCATTCATTTCAATAATGCTATTAATTTCACCCTCAATGATTCATTCCTAGCACATCTTTGTTGGTGTTTGTCTTTCCCTTTCCACATCTCAGGTAAAACATTGTACCAACAATATTGGAAAGGTTGCCATGCCTGTGTTTGTAAGCAAGAGAAAACATGCTCCCTTTTGAGGTAAAGCCACATGAAGATATCTAAGGAGCACTTCATCCTGGAGCACAGAGTGAATAGTGGTTAAGTAACTGGGCTTTGTACTCAGGGTTCAAGTCTTGGTCAGTACCTACCAGAAGAATATCTTTGATAAGCTGTTTAACCATTACATATGATAGCTAACGTTTATTGAGTTCCTGCTATATACTAACCACTCCAATAAGTATTTCACTCTGATTTTCTCAAATCTGTATGACTCTTTAAAGTAGCTATTGAGTCCTCTGTTTTACAGTGAAAGCAACTGATGATAATCAAAGTTTAAAGTAGGTCTAACTCCAAATTACTTACTGTTAATTGCTAGACTAAACTACCGGTCTTTCTCTCAAATTATTGTAAATTTGTTCTTTGACACTTCACATTTACTTTCATTCCTTTTCATTCCTCTCATTCTTATAAGAACCTGGCTCTACGGAATATCCCTCACCACTCTTCTAACCTCATAATCTTCTTTTGGTTTCTCATCAACATCTAGGAGACAAGTTTTTCCTCCCTCAGAAGTCTCCTTTCATTCTTTCATTCTCAAACACATTGTCACTACATAGATTTCATCAAAACTGGTTTCCTTCTCAATCCACAGTTGAATACAATTTGGTATCTGACCCACCACTCCAAGAAAATAAGCAGATTTTGCAAACTTCAATAACTTTTTTACTAAACCATATAAACTCTATCCTATGTGACTATTCTTGACAGTATTTCACATTCTCTACCACAGTCTTCTCAAAACATACAAAATAGTGGTTAATGGATGAGCACTAAATTAATTTACATGTATTTAAATCCCAATTCCATCTTTTTTTTTTTTTTTCCAGACGGAGTTTCGCTCTGTTGCCCAGGCTAGAGTGCAGCGGTGCTATCTCGGCTCACTGCAAACTCCGCCTACAGTTCAAGTGATTCTCCTGCCTCAGCCTCCTGAGTAGCTGGGACTACAGGTGAGCACCACCATGCCCGGCTAATTTTTGTATTTTTAGTAGAGACAGGGTTTCACCATGTTGGCCAGGCTGGTCTTGAACTCGTGACCTCAGATGATCCACCTGCCTTGGCCTCCCAAAGTGCTGGGATTACAGGTGTCAGCCACTGCGCCTGGCCCCCAATTCCATCTCTTAATTGTGAAACTCTGGGCAATGTTTTAAATTCTTTCTTTTGAAAATTCATACAGATCTATGTAGGGGGAAACAAAACACACACACATAAAAATATGTTTTCAAGCAGGGAATTAAAAATAAGGAGCAGGCCTGGTACGGTGGTTTACACCTGTAATCCTAGCACTTTGGAATGCCAAGGTAGGAGGATTGCTTGAGGCCAAGAATTCAAGACCAACCTGGCCAACATAGTGAGACCCTGTCTCTAATAAATAAAAAAATAAAAATAAGCAGCAATGGAAATTAGCTGGTGCCTACTTCATATTGGGTTAGTGTATGTGGCAGGAGGGCAGGGCAGTTGTTTGGGCTGATACACGAAGAGGAGCTGGTCACATGGAAAGTGCTGGGAAGATAATCCCAGGACAGTAAAAGGGAACAAGCTTGGTATTATTGAGGAATTGAAAAAAAGCCTGTGTATCTGGAGAAGATTGAACAGATAGGAGAGTGGTATAACATGGTCAGAGAGGTACACAGATGCTAGAAGATGTAGGGCTTTGAAAATAAAGAGTCTGTATTTTACTCTAAATGCAATAGAAAGTCATCTAGGAGTTTTAAACTAGACATGATAGAGCCTTACTTATACTTTTAAATGCTTACACCTGATATGTATGTAACATAACAGGAGTTAATTAGGGAGACTAAATCGAAAGCTGGATTTCATTTAACTATAAATCTGAAATACTTGAGAAAGAACAAGACTGGCTATACAGACTTTGCTTTTATATCAAGAGAAAGACAAAGAGACAAATAAAAACTGAGCTCAATTATAGATAAGCAGCTAAAGCATTCAATTCTGCTATTCAATTCTGGTGAGTTCTGCTCTATCATCTATTTGCACATATGGATTAAGACTGGAAGATTGTACCTAGTCCTCCTGCCCCAATGTTGGTGGGAATCTTCACCCCACTCATAAACAAAAAATTTAGGGAATTTTTATGAACAATTCAAGGGATTTCCCTTATATGTGCTTTATGATTGCTATAAGGATCAATGTGTAAGTACCTGGTACAATATTTGGAACATAGCAGCTGCTTTTGGTATAGACATAAACATAGTCATAGGCATATAGATAGAGAATGCCCAAGATTTTACTGAATTCTTTTTGTATTTGTTGCATCTTTATTCTTTCATAATACAGGTTAGTTTGTTGTTGTTGTTGTGGTGGTGGTGGTGGTGGTGGTGGTGGTGGTGGTGGTGGTGGTGGTGGTTTTTGAGACAGCCCAGGCTGGAGTGCAGTGGCACGATCTTGCTCACTGAAACCGCCGCCTCCTGGGTTCAAGCAATTCTTTTACGTCATTCTCCCGAGTAGCTGGGACTACAGGTGCCTGCCACCACGCCTGGCTAATTTTTGTATTTTTATTTATTTGTTTGTTTATTTATTTATTTATTTATTTATTTATTTGTATTTTTAGTAGAGATGAGGTTTTACCGTGTTGGCCAGGCTGGTCTCAAACTGCTGACCGCCCATGATCTGCCTGTCTCTGCCTCCCAAAGTGCGGAGATTACAGGCATGAGCCACTGCACCCAGCCACAAGTTAAGTTTTAAATCTCAAATTTAATGTGAACTGAGAATGTGATGA